>NC_000022.11:37800473-37951988 GCF_000001405.40 Homo sapiens
TTGGCTATTGTGAATGGTGCTGCAATTACCATGGGAGTGCAGATATCTCTTCAATATGCTGATCTCCTTCCTTTTGGATATATACCGAGTAGTGGGATTCATCTGAACCATTTTTTTTTTAGACTAGTCAAGTTCAGTAGTGAGAAGGGAGCAAAAAGTAGAACAAGGGGCCAGGCGTGGTGGCTCATGCCTGTAATCCCAGCACTTTGGGAGGCTGAGGTGGGTGGATCACTTGAGGTCAGGAGTTTGAGACCAGCCTGGCCAACATAGTGAAACCCCGTTCCACTAAAAATACAAAAATTAGCTGGGCGTGGTGGTGGGAGCCTCTAATCCCAGCTACTCGGGAGGCTGAGGCATGAGAATTGCCTGAACCCAGGAGGCAGAGGTTGCAGTGAACCGAGATCGCGGCACTGCACTCCAGCCTGGGTGACAGAGTGAGACTCCATCTCAAAAAAAAAAAAAAAAGTTAGCCGGGCGTGGTGGCGCACACCTGTAACCCCAGCTACTCAGGAGGCTGAGGCAGGAGAACCGCTTGAATCCAGGAGGCGGAGATTGCAGCAAACTGAGATCACGGCACTGCACTCCAGCCTGGGCAACAGAGTGAGACTCCGTCTCAAAAAACAACAACGAACAACAAAAAATACAATTGCAAACCACCACCATTTGACACTGCCTATATCCACCCCCAACCCTGCTCCAGTTGTTTCTTTGCAATTGCCACTTTCCAGCATACTATATAATTTACTTTTTTTTTTTTTTTTGAGATGGAGTTTTGTTCTTGTCGCCCAGGCTGGAGTGCAATGGCGTGGTCTCAGCTCATTGCAACCTCCGCCTCCCTAGTTCAAACGATTCTCCTGCCTCATTCTCCCAAGTAGCTAGGATTACAGGGGCCCCCCACCACGCCCGGCTAATTTTTGTATTTTCAGTAAAGACAGGGTTTCACCATGTTGGCCAGGCTGGTCGCAAACTCCTGACCTCAGGTGATCCACCCACTTCGGCCTCCCAAAGTGCCGGGATTACAGGCGTGAGCCACCGCACCTGGCCTAATTTACTTCTTTATGTAGTCTATTGTGTATCTATCTTTTCCAGGGAACCTCAGCTCCACAAGGGCAGGGCTCTCTTGTCACTTTGGTTTATGGCCATATCACAGAGCCCATCCCAGTGCCTGGCACATATTAAGGAATGCATTAGGATTCCAAAACCAGCCAGGAGCGGTGGCTCATGCCTGTAATCCCAGCACTTTGGGAGGCCGAGGCGAGTGGATCACGAGGATAGGAGTTCAAGACCAGTCCGGCCAAGATGGTGAAACCCCGTCTCTACTAAAAATACAAAAAATTAGTTGGGCGTGGTTGTGGACACCTGTAATCCTATCTATTCGGGAGGCTGAGGCAGAGAATTGCTTGAACCCGGGAGGCAGAGGTTGCAGTGAGCCGAGATCGCGCCACTGCACTCTGGCCTGGGCGACAGAGCAAGACGCCATCTCAAAAAAAAAAAAAAAAAAAAAAAAAGATTACAAAGCCCAGAATGCCACAAGACCACAGGTGGTGCAGTGAACAGGGCATTGCCTTGAGAGTCTATCATCCCTGGGCAAGTCATTAAACATAGGGGTGGGGGTGGGAGCCTCCTGTCTGTAACGTGGAGGTGTCACGTGCCAAGGGCTCAGGCACACGCGCGCGCACGCACAAACACACCCATTAGTAAGGACACGACCCCTGGCATTCTAATGCGATTTATACTTTTCCATGAAGGAATTCATTTCCCCCTCTCACTAACCCCAGAGACAGGTAGAGCCGACAGGTGGAAGAACTGAGGCCCGAGAGAGACAGCGGGGGACCCTCCCCGCGCCACGGCACAGCAGCTGTCCGACCCCCTCCTCACGCCCGGGGGGCGCGACGGCTGCCGAGGGTCGCGGGCAGGGGGCGCGGCGCCGGGGACTACATTTCCCAGGAGCAGTTGCCGCGGTTCCGCCGTTCCTGGGGTTTCAAGAGCCTCGCGTTAAAGGGGGCGGGGGAGGTTGCGCAGTCCGCCAGCTGGAAGATGGCTCTGCGCCCGGTGGGGACCCGAGAGCCGCCTGCCTGGGTGCCCAGGCGGGGTCCGGCTGCAGTGAAGAAGCCCCCCAGCTCTGCAGTGTCCCTGAGGGGAGGCGAGGCGAGGCGAGGCGAGGCGAGGCCAAGCCAATTGGAGGCCGTCTTTCCTCGTCTTGCCCGCCTCGGCTTCGGCCTCTGCGCCCAAGCCCCAGGGAACCCCCTCCCTTCCCCTCCAACTCCCCGGAACAGGGGAAGGGGCGGTGAACCTCGCCGCCTGGCGGGAGAAGGGGTGTCCACTAGCTGGAAGCCCCTGCAACCCGAGGCAACCCCTTTCCCCAATTCTGGCTTCAGTTCCGGGAATTTACAGGTCGCTGGGATGGGCGGGGAGAAGGGACAGGAGAGATACAAAATGAAATGAACGCCCAGGTGTCAGGGAGCTGAGCCTTACAGTACCCCGCCCCCAATCCATCCTTCTAAGTCCCGGGCCTCCGCGGTAAAATAGGGGTGATGGGGATAGTGATCAAAGGCAGGAGGCGCAAAGGATCCAGAAACCGGTGGGGAGCACTGTGCAAACTGTAAAGCGCTGTGCAAATAAAATTATTGATCGTCGTGTCATTGGATTCATCCAGTCTTTAAGACATGCACGGATCTGGGGCGGGGGATGGGGTGACATGGTTCTGGGCTCTCAGGGTGGAACATCTCGGATACGGGGAGGGGGGGCTATTTGGGTGCGTATTAACCCAACCAGGTCTTAATGGGAACCCGAGTTGTCTTTGAAAATAACCAAAACAAAGCCACCAGAATGTTGTGTTTTCAAATGACGAAACTTAAGAGAAATTGACACCATCAAAAGACGAACCTTGACCTTTTGAACTAACCTGACCCCCCATTGCTTCCCTTCCCCGCCTGTGCCACGGAGATAAGCCCAGAGAGAAGGCATCTGACACCGAGTCTTGCGCTCCCCCTCCCCCTTCCTCCCCTAATCATTTGGATTAATCCATCCCTTGGCGTGCGGGGGAAACCCATTAATTTGTCCTGGCTTCAGAGACTCCCAGGTCCAGTAGGAGCCCTCCCACACCCACGCAGCTACGATCCCGTCCCCAACATCAAAACCCTCGAACCCCTCCCCTTTACCCCTCCCCAGTAGCCCACTGTGTCTGCAAACAGCTCTTGGACCATACCGGGATGCGTTCATCATTTTGACCAGCAACAAACTCCCACTCCCAGGGTATTGTTTAAGTGAACAGTGACCGGCCTCTATGCTTAGGGAATAAAAGCGGGGTTGTGGGAGAGGGGCCCAGGGAGCAAACGTCGCAGAATCTCAGCCCAGGGCCGCTGCCAAGCGGACCCGGCACGTGAGTAGGAGGTCGGCCGCAGACAAGGGGTCCTAGGGTCTCTGAGGTCTCTCCTGCTGGCCTCTGGGCCCCTAAAGCCCCTCGAGCTTCAGAACTCCCTACAGACAGTGGCGCCCCGTGTCCGCCTCGTCTACACCTGCCAAGCAGCACGGGAAAATCTGTGTGCATTTTAACAAAGACATCGCATCTTCCCAGCAAAATGGCGGTGGTCGCGGCCACGGCTCTCTAAACAACTCCACACTTTCCGAGGACAGGTCACAACCCAAGGGACATAACCCCCTCCTCGACCTCTACCCTAGCGCCCCGCTTTCCCAAGTCCCCAAAGCACTCAGGGCCTCTCCTCATTACAGGGGCCCCCCGGACCGTCCCTGGTTAGAGCTTCTGGGGCAGCTTCTCCATTGTGGACCGCCCTCCCCCGCCCCCACATTGCCTTCAAGGAGCCTTGGGACGGGGACTGAACCCCCAGGCTGGGCCTCACGGATGGGGGGCAGCGAGTTCTGTCTCTGACACCCCAAAACTTCCAGGCTAAGAGAAGCACACAAATGAATTCCCGATTAGGGTATATGGGAGATGTAGGGGTCTTTGAGGAGAAGAGGCCACCCGGGAGGCCCTCCTCATCTCTCAGAGGGTCCGGGCAGCACTGGGGGTTCGGCCTCAGGAGGGAACCTCAAGGCAGAGGTCGGGGGGCGCGCTGGGGGAGAGACGGCAGAGGAGGGGGAAGGGACAAAGTTTGAAAGTACCCTTCCAACTCTTTCAGGGAAAGTTTCCTTGGGGGCCCCATGGACAGAGGGGGTAGAGGTGTGGAGGGACCGGTGGCGGGGTGACCCCCGAGAGGTGACCGGACCCCGGGGGAGCGACCCCTCCCCCCTGTCCCGGCTCGGCCCGGCTGGGAGTCGCCCAGCTCGGGGCCGCGTGTGTTAGTTGGGGCCGCTTTCCGGCAGCTCCACCGGGCTAGGGGACCCCGCAGCGGGCCGGGAGCAGAGCCCCCGGTAGCCTCAGGGGAGAGCTTTGCTACGGGGGGTTTCCCGCACCGAGGCTCCCTAGCCCCGCAGAGCCAGCCCCCCGCAAAGGGGAAATGTGCCGGCACACCAGCGGTCCTCGGCGCCGTTTGGGGTGCGTGGCGGGCGCGGGGGGCGGCGGCCGGGCCAGCGGGCCGCCCGGCGGGGAAGCCCAGGGAGCCAGGCAGCGGCCCAGGGCGGCGGCGGGGAGCAGGAAGGCCCGGGCCGGGGGGAAAGGTCGGATTTGCTCGGCGGAAGAAACACAGATGGCGGCGGCGCAGCGCCATTCCGGGCCGGGAGCAGGCAGCCAGCAGCCCTGTCCTCACCGCGGTCCGCCCGCCGCCGCTAAATACCCGGATGCGCCGCCCAAGCGCCAGACGCGGAGCTGGGAAAAGGGAGGCAGAGGAGGCGGAGGCAGAGGCAGAGGCAGAGGCAGAGCCCGAGCCCGGTGCCGAGACCAAGCGACAGACCGGCGGGGCTGGGCCTCGCAAAGCCGGCTCGGCGAGCTCTCCCGACACCCGAGCCGGGGAGGAAAAGCAGCGACTCCTCGCTCGCATCCCCGGGAGCCGCACTCCAGACTGGCCCGGTAGTCAGGGGCTCAGGAGCAGATCCCGAGGCAGGCTTTGCTCAGCCTCCGACGAGGGCTGGCCCTTTGGAAGGCGCCTTCAACAGCCGGACCAGACAGGCCACCATGACCGAGAATTCCACGTCCGCCCCTGCGGCCAAGCCCAAGCGGGCCAAGGCCTCCAAGAAGTCCACAGACCACCCCAAGTATTCAGACATGATCGTGGCTGCCATCCAGGCCGAGAAGAACCGCGCTGGCTCCTCGCGCCAGTCCATTCAGAAGTATATCAAGAGCCACTACAAGGTGGGTGAGAACGCTGACTCGCAGATCAAGTTGTCCATCAAGCGCCTGGTCACCACCGGTGTCCTCAAGCAGACCAAAGGGGTGGGGGCCTCGGGGTCCTTCCGGCTAGCCAAGAGCGACGAACCCAAGAAGTCAGTGGCCTTCAAGAAGACCAAGAAGGAAATCAAGAAGGTAGCCACGCCAAAGAAGGCATCCAAGCCCAAGAAGGCTGCCTCCAAAGCCCCAACCAAGAAACCCAAAGCCACCCCGGTCAAGAAGGCCAAGAAGAAGCTGGCTGCCACGCCCAAGAAAGCCAAAAAACCCAAGACTGTCAAAGCCAAGCCGGTCAAGGCATCCAAGCCCAAAAAGGCCAAACCAGTGAAACCCAAAGCAAAGTCCAGTGCCAAGAGGGCCGGCAAGAAGAAGTGACAATGAAGTCTTTTCTTGCGGACACTCCCTCCTGTCTCCTATTTTCTGTAAATAATTTTCTCCTTTTTTCTCTCTTGATGCTCACCACCACCTTTTGCCCCCTTCTGTTCTGACTTTATAAGAGACAGGATTTGGATTCTTCAGAAATTACAGAATAATTCATTTTTCCTTAACCAGTTGTGCAAGGACAGCAACAACCAATCTAATGATGAGAATGTACTTATATTTTGTTTTGCTATTAACCTACTTACGGGGTTAGGGATTTGCGGGGGGGGCTTGTGTGTTTTGTTGGCTTGTTTGCCATGAAGGTAGATGTGGGTGGGGAGAAGACACAAGGCAGTTTGTTCTGGCTAGATGAGAGGGAACCCAGGAATTGTGAGGTTAGCAGGAATATCTTTAGGGTGAGTGAGTTTTCTTTGAGTTGGGCACCCGTTGTGAGAGTTTCAGAACCTTTGGCCAGCAGGAGAGAGGTGGTAGGGAGCAGCCAGCCGGCAAAGGAAGGAGGGGGAAAAAAACCGCCACCGGGCTGACTTCCACCTCCCAGTGGTGAGCAGTGGGGGCCCAAACCCAGTTTCCTTCTCATTTTTGTTAGTTTGCGCTTTCGGCCTCCCTATTTTCTTAGGGAAGGGGAGTGGGGTCCAAGTGACAGCTGGATGGGAGAAGCCATAGTTTCTCCCAGTCAGCTAGGATGTAGCCATTGGGGGATCTTTGTGGCTTCAGCAAATTCTCTTGTTAAACCGGAGTGAAAACTTCAGGGGAAGGGTGGGGAGTCAGCCAAGTGCCTCAGTGTGCCCTGTTGAAACTTAGGTTTTTCCACGCAATCGATGGATTGTGTCCTAGGAAGACTTTTCTTTTCCTCTGGATTTTTGTTCCTCCTGTACAAGAGGTGTCTTTGCTTGGTTTGGTGGGGCTGCGGCCACTTAAAACCTCCCGATCTCTTTTTGAGTCCTTTATTATAAGTAGTTGTAGCTGCGGGAGGGGGAGGGGGAGTGGGCGGGCAGTGGATAGTAAGACTTACTGCAGTCGATTTGGGATTTGCTAAGTAGTTTTACAGAGCTAGATCTGTGTGCATGTGTGTGTTTGTGTATATATACATATCTAGGGCTAGTACTTAGTTTCACACCCGGGAGCTGGGAGAAAAAACCTGTACAGTTGTCTTTCTCTTATTTTTAATAAAATAGAAAAATCGCGCACTTGCGCGTCCCCCCCCCACCCCCTTTTTTAAACAAGTGTTACTTGTGCCGGGAAAATTTTGCTGTCTTTGTAATTTTAAAACTTTAAAATAAATTGGAAAAGGGAGAAACTGAGCGGTGTATTTTTCCTCACTTTGAAGACTGGAGAATGAATGCGGAGCGGTTAGGCGGGCAGGCAGTGGGGACATCTGGGGCGTTTGCACCTGAGAATGGCGGGGGAGGGTTCAGGAGCTGGACAGAAGCCAGGAATCCTTAGTCCCGGAGGCTGCGGAACGTGCCTTAGCCGGCTTCTAGGCTTCTGCCTTTGGGGTCCAGAGGGTACCCCATTTCCGGCCGAGAGGTGAGTACGTGGGAATGCGGTGGGGAGTCTGGTGGGCTTGGCCCTGACGCGACTTCCTCCGCCCCCTTCCCTCCCCTCTGCCATCCGGACTTCGGCAGTCTCAACTTACAAGTCAAGCCTCTCGGTCCCTGGCGGATCCCGCCAGGCCCCGCCCACCCGTCCTAGGCCCGCCTCCCCGCCTTTTTAAGCGAGCCCCCCTAGCTCCGATTGGCTGCTGGAGCCCGGCCCCCGGCCACGCGACCAGGCTGCGTCCGCGATGCGCACGGCTCCCAGGCAGGCAGGCGCGCTCGGGCGAGGTAGGAGCGATGTGGCCTGGGAACGCCTGGCGCGCCGCACTCTTCTGGGTGCCCCGCGGCCGCCGCGCACAGTCAGCGCTGGCCCAGCTGCGTGGCATTCTGGAGGGGGAGCTGGAAGGCATCCGCGGAGCTGGCACTTGGAAGAGTGAGCGGGTCATCACGTCCCGTCAGGGGCCGCACATCCGCGTGGACGGCGTCTCCGGAGGTAACGCTCCGTTCCGGGAGTCGTTCCAAGACCTTTCCCGAGCTTGCGCTGGAATGGAGGTCCTGGAGGTGGGGGTGGGCGGCTCCTACACTCTTAGCTACTGTTCCCCTTCGCATCTCTCAGGGCGACTTTATGGCTTCCTAATATTGACTCTTGCCTGGTTAAACCCTTTTGACGGAGGGAGGCGATTTGCCCAGCAAGAAAACCCGCATTTCTTGAGCGGCTCCTTTGTGAAGGTCTCTACCAATTGTTGCTGCACGTGAACTCCTGCTAACTTCTAGACGCAGGAATGACTAATTCCACTTTACAAACGAAGAGGCTGAAATCCACAGATGTGAAATGGCTTGCCCAAAAGCCCCCAGCTAGCTGCAGGCAGCGCTGGAATATTGGAGCTGGAACATTGCCTGACTGGCCAGAGAGGACAGCTTGCTGGGTAAACTCATAGCAAGCAAGGGGTCCCAGGGCTGCCACAGAAATCACATGATGAGTTGGCCCTGCCAGGTCTCCCTCATTTCTTTCTTTCCTTTTTTTTTTCTGAGATGGAGTCTCGTCTTGCTCTGTCGCCCAGGCTGGAGTGCAGTGGCGAGATCTCGGTTCACTGCAACCTCTGCCTCCCGGGTTCAAGCGATTTTCATGCCTCAGCCTCCCAAGTAGCTGGGACTACAGGCACGTGCCAGCACACCCGGCTAATTTTTGTATTTTTAGTGGAGACTGGGTTTCACCATGTTGGCCAGGCTGGTCTCGAACTCCTGACCTCAAGTGATCCTCCCGCCTCAGCCTCCCAAAGTGTTGGGATTACAGGCGTGAGCCACCACTCCCAGCCCTCCCTCATTTCACTCTAACCAGTGGTTACACCTGACTTATTCGTGTCAGGCCTCAGGTGAGTGGTAATCATCAACAAGCTCCCAAAGCTGCCTTCTGCCCAGGAAATAGGCATAGAACCCTTGGTGCTGTTGCACTCATTTGTAAAACAGAGGTCCCAGGTAATCCCTTCTCTCCCTCAGGGGAAGCTTAGAGCCGGTCAAAAGATGGGAAATTAGGAGACCCAAGTTCTCATCCTGTTTTTGCCTTTCCCAGGCTGTGTGAACTTTCCCCTCTGGCTGTTTGCTCCTAAGGTCAGCTGTGTTCACTCTGGGCTTTAGAATTCGGGGACTGGTATCTCAGGCACCTACCTTTGGGGGTGTGATTCTGGCAGCAAAGTAAACTGTGGAGTTCCAGGACTGCAGCAGGCGTCTGATCCAGCCCTCTTCTTTAACCCTCAAGGAAACCAAGGGGTCAGATAAGGAGTCAGTGGTGGTCTTCAGGCACAGGAGAAGCCTGTGAGGAAGGGCTGAGTTCCTCCTTGGGTAGAATGTGATTCAAAGCCAGAGTTTAGGCTGGGCACAGTGGCTTGTGCCTGAAATCGTAGCACTTTGGGAGGCCAAGGCAGGAGGATTGCTTGAGGCTAGGAGTTCGAGACCAGCACGGACAACATAATGAGACCCCATCTCTACAAAAAATAAAAAAATTTAATCGGGCATGGTGGCACGCACCTGTAGTCCCAGCTACTCAGGAGGTTAAGTGGGAGGATTGCTTGAGCCTGGGAGGTTGGGGCTACAGTGAACCATGATTGCACCACTGTACTCCAACCTGGGCGACAGAGCTAGACCCTGTCTCAAAAAAAAAAAAGTTTAAACTTCTTGCTCTTCAAGATGTGTAGCACTGACGCTCCTTCTGTAGCTGTTGAATTTGGTGCCTCCTCAATGGTGACTCCAGGTCTGTTTCCTTTCTGGACCATTTCCCCAGGGCCTGGCACTGTCATCTTTCCAGGCCTGCCCTTGCCCCACCTGAGCTGCTGTATCCATCTCCTCTCCTTCACCTCAGGAATCCTTAACTTCTGTGCCAACAACTACCTGGGCCTGAGCAGCCACCCTGAGGTGATCCAGGCAGGTCTGCAGGCTCTGGAGGAGTTTGGAGCTGGCCTCAGCTCTGTCCGCTTTATCTGTGGAACCCAGGTACACAGTGAGTGGTGGGGGGTTGTGGGGACTGACCCCAGCTGCCTGCTTCCCACAGTCAGCAAGGCTGGTTTAGCCAGCTCAGCTCAGCCACAGCCCTGGGCCTACTGTTGGCCTCAGAGCTGTGCAGCAGAAAGGCTGAGTGCAGGCCTCTGTTTTGCTGAAAAGCTTTGGCCAAGGAACTTTATATATATATTTTTTCTTTTTGAGACAGAGTCTTGCTCTGTCACCCAGGCTGGAGTGCAGTGGCACAATCTTGGCTCCCTGTAACCTTCGCCTACCAGACTCAAGGGATTCTCCATGCCTCAGCCTCCTGAGTAGCTGCGATTACAGGCATGCTACCACACCCAGCTAATTTTTTTTTTTTTTTTTTTTTTGAGATGGAGTCTCGCTCTGTCGCTGAGGCTGGAGTGCGGTGGCATGATCTTGGCTACTGCAAGCTGCGCCTCCCAGGTTCACGCCATTCTCCTGCCTCAACCTCCCGAGTAGCTGGGACTACAGGCGCCTACCACCACTCCCGGCTAATTTTTTGTATTTTTAGTAGAGACGGGGTTTCACTGTGTTAGCCAGGATGGTCTCGATCTCCTGACCTCGTGATCCACCCACCTTGGCCTCCCAAAGTGCTGGGATTACAGGCGTGAGCCACCGCACTCGGCCTAATTTTTATATGTTTAGTAGAGATGGGGTTTCACCATGTTGGCCAGGCTGGTCTTGAACTCCTGGCCTCAAGTGATCTCCTCCACCTTGGCCTTCCAAAGTGGAAACTGCCTTTTTGAGCATTCATTTTCCCACCTGCAAAACAGAGTCCCTCACACCTGACCTTCTATAAGAAAAGAGGAGTAGGCGGCAGGAACTGAGACTAAGGGCTCTGGGGCTGTTCTGACGGGAGCACAGTTGCCAGTGCTGCCCTTTAGTGTCCCTGTTCCTGTGGGCAAGTATCTTAACTTTTCTCTGTCTCAATTACTTCATAGGGAAAATGAAGATAATAGCACTTAATAGGATCATTACAAATTAAAGACTTAATACATGTAATGCTTAGAATAGGCCGGGCGCAGTGGCTCATGCCTGTAATCCCAGCACTTTGGGAGGCTGATGCAGGCGGATCACCTGAGGTCAGGAGTTCAAGACCAGCCTGGCCAACATGGCGAAACCCTTTCTCTACAAAAATATAAAAATTAGCTGGCATGATGGTGGGTGCCTGTAATCGCAGCCACTTGGGAGGCTGAGGCAGGAGAATCGCTTGAACCTAGGAGGTGGAGGTTGCAGTGAGCTGAGATCACGCCACTGCACTCCAGCCTGAGCAACAGAGTGAGACTCTGTCTCAAAAAAAAAAAAAAAAAAAAAAAGCATAGAACAGCCTGGCACATAGTACTGCTCAATGAATGTTGGCTATTATTTATTTTCCAAATGTTACAAAATAAATTTATATAAGTATGAAACTTAAATAGTACTTATTATGTGCCAGGAATTCTTTTAAGAAAATTACAACTATTGGCCAGGCGTGGTGGCTTATGCCTGTAATCCAGGCACTTTGGGAGGCCGAGGTGGGTGGATTACTGAGTTCAAGACCAGCCTGGCCAACATGGTGAAACCCTGTCTGTGCTAAAAATACAAAAATTAGCTGGCCGGGCTCGCTTGAACCCATGAGGCAGGGGTTGCAGTGAGCCACGACGGTGCGACCACACTCCAGCCTGGGTGACAGAGGGAAACTCTGTCTCAAAAAAAAAAAAAAAAGAACATTACAAGTATTAACTCATTAATCCTAAGTGATAGTTGCTATTCTTATTCCCGCTATTGAGATGAGGACACTGAGATCCAGAGAGGTTAAGTGACTTGCCCAGAGGCACACAGCCTGTTGTGGGATTTGAACCCTGGCTCAAGAGTCCATGCTGGCTGGGCATGGTAGTTCACACCTGTAATCCCAATACTTTTGGAGCCCAAAGCAGAAGGATCACTTGATGCCTGGAGTTTGAGACCAGCCTGGGCAACATAGCAAGACCCTCTCTCTAAAAAAAAAAAAATGTTTTTAATTAGCTGGGTGTGGTGGTGCGCACCTGTAGTCCCAGCTACTAGGGAGGGGAGGCTGAGTTGGGAGGATCACTTGAGCCCAGGAGTTCAAGGCTACAGTAAGCTATGGTCTCACTACTGCACTCCAGCCTGAGTGACAGAGAATCCCTGTCTCATTTGCCAAAAAAAAGAAAGAGTCTGTGCTCCTGACTACTTGTGATTATCATTAACTGCCCTCTCAGAAAGGTGAGAGTGAAATGAATGTCAGAGGCAGAACTCCTGACTCGCATCCAGTCACTTCCCAGCAAAGCCCTCACCCAGACCCAACAGTTTTCAAATTTACAAATTAGAGGCCCAGGTGAACCCAGAATTACCTCTGTGATCTTTTTCTTCACCATTAGGCGACCAAAAAAGACACTCAGTATGGTGTTAGGAAGACACATCTTTCTTCTCCACGAGTGCCCGTAATTCCACCATTAGACTGCCACTGTAAAACCAAAGTCTGCCCAGGGAGGGAACCTAACAGGTCCCCAGTTCCTCAGTGGGAACTGTCTGTCAGATTCCTGGCAGCTCTGGGATAGCCCATGTGTGGCAGAAAGTAAGGAGACTGAGGCTGCAGGCTTTCTGGGTTGGGTCTCTGTGGTCCTCCAAGCCTCTGTCCCCTCGAACTTGTCCCACATGACCCCACAGGCATCAACACGTGTCTCACTCATTTTCTTCAGAGCATCCACAAGAATCTAGAAGCAAAAATAGCCCGCTTCCACCAGCGGGAGGATGCCATCCTCTATCCCAGCTGTTATGACGCCAACGCCGGCCTCTTTGAGGTGTGTGGAAGCTGTCCTGCGGGTGAGGGTTGGTGGGGCCTGTTAGGCTGAGGAAGGCTTGGGTGTGGGCAGTCGGGAGAACCTAGCAGGATTCAGTGCCATGCCTAGAGGCTCCAGAGCCCGCTTCTGGAGGTCAAGGTTGGGCCAGGTAGGTGCTCCAGGAGGAATCCTGGGGCTTGCAGGGAGCCTGAGTTCCAGAGCCTTTGGGGGATAAGCTACATCAGCTGGAAGGCTGGGGGAGGCGGGGGCCTGGTACTCACCAAATATATTCTCACCTCCTCTTACTAGAGCAGGGCGCTGGTCCAGCCCGGCACTGAGACACGGGGGCCCCAGAGAGAAGCACAGAACACCTTGCCTCTCTACCCAGAGGAGCGCCCTGGCTGGCAGTACAGTTTTTTGATTTGCTGGAGTCCCGGTCAAGGGAGAAGCCCAGGGTGGTTAAATGATGGCTCTACGCTCACTGCCTCCCTCCAGGCCCTGCTGACCCCAGAGGACGCAGTCCTGTCGGACGAGCTGAACCATGCCTCCATCATCGACGGCATCCGGCTGTGCAAGGCCCACAAGTACCGCTATCGCCACCTGGACATGGCCGACCTAGAAGCCAAGCTGCAGGAGGCCCAGGTGGGGCGACGCCTGGGTCCACCCTCAGCCTCCGCCTGGGGAAGGAAGTGAGGCTTAGAGAGGCCAACTCCTCACTCACAGAGATAGCCTGAAAGTTTGAAACAGCAGAGATTTGTCCAAGATGTGAACCCAGATCCCTCACACCCAGAGCATTATTCTTTTTTTTTTTTCCCTGAGACAGAGTTTCACTCTGTCGCCAAGGCTGGAGTATAGTGGTGTGATCTCGGCTCACTGCAACCTCCACCTCCTGGGTTCAAGTGATTCTCCTGCCTCAGCCTCCCAAGTAGCTGGGATTACAGGCATCCGCCACCCCACCTGGCTAATTTTTGTATTTTTAGTAAAGACGGGGTTTCATCATGTTGTCCAGGCTGGTCTCGAACTCCTGACCTCAGTTGATTTCACCCACCTAGGCCTCCCAAAGTGCTGGGATTATAGACGTGAGCCACTGTGCCTGGCACCAGAGCATTATTCCATTGTGCCATGGTGCCTTGAGGTTTTTCCCTGTGTATGTGTGACAGTCTCACTCTGTTGCCCAGGCTGTATTGCAATGGTGCAGTCATAGCTCACTGCAGCCTCAATCTTCTGGACTCGAGCGATCCTCCCACCTCAGTCTCCTGAGTAGCTGGGACTACCGGTGCCCACCACACCCAGTTTTTTATTTATTTGTTTTTTAGATGGAATTTCACTCTTTTTGCCCAGGCTGGAGTGCAATGGCGTGATCTCAGCTCACTGAAACCTCTGCCTCCCAGGTTCAATTGATTCTCCTGCCTCAGCCTCTGGAGTAGCTGGGATTACAGGCACACACCACCGTGCTCAGCTAATTTTCTATTTTTAGTAGAGATGGGGTTTAGCCATGTTGGCCAGGCTGGTTTCGAACTCCTGACCTCAGGTGATCTACCTGTCTCAGCCTCCCAAAGTGTTGGGATTACAGGCATGAGCCACCGCACCCAGCCTGTTTGTTTGTTTTTGAGACAGGGTCTCACTATAATGCTCAGGCTAGTCTTGAACTCCTGGGCTCCCAAAGTTACAGGCATGAGCCACCATACCCAGCCAGTTTTTAAAATTTTTAGTAGAGACAGGGTCTCACTATGTTGCCCAGGTGGGTCTCGAACCCGTAAGCTCCCAAAGTCCTGGGATTACAGGTGTGAGCCACTGTGCCCGGCCTGCCTTGAGTATTAGCAAGCACCTTCTGTGTGGCAGGCCCTTGCTAGGCATAAGGATAGAATGTACATGTTGGTGAGACCTGGTCCCAGCCTAGCCTGCCCTCTGGGACCTTACACAGGAGACTGAGATGTGAGCCCATTCTCACTGTCCAGAGCTCAGGGTGGAGATGGGTGACGCTGAGAGGCACAGATGAGGGAGAGGATGTTCCAGCCCCCAAGATGGTGGTACCTCTGTGCCCACCTCTGTGCTGGGCACTGGGCAGGATGAGCTCTCAGAGCTCCAAGCAGCACAAGAGACGGGTGGTTTGGCCCAACTTGACACCACCCACCATCTGCTCATGTCTTTCCTGCAGAAGCATCGGCTGCGCCTGGTGGCCACTGATGGGGCCTTTTCCATGGATGGCGACATCGCACCCCTGCAGGAGATCTGCTGCCTCGCCTCTAGATATGGTGCCCTGGTCTTCATGGATGAATGCCATGCCACTGGCTTCCTGGGGCCCACAGGACGGTGGGACCATGTGGCACCTGAGGCCTGGGGTGGGGCTTCTGAGGGTGGCTGGGAAACGAGGAGGCCAGTCCCCAGCATGATCCATAATCCCTGGGCTCTCAGGAGGCCAGTGACAGCAGCGGTGGCTTCCCTTGCAGGGGCACAGATGAGCTGCTGGGTGTGATGGACCAGGTCACCATCATCAACTCCACCCTGGGGAAGGCCCTGGGTGGAGCATCAGGTACCTGCAAGGTTGTGTCCCTGGGGTCCCCTTGTCCTTTTGAAGGGCCCTGGAGGGGCTCAGGGAAGTGGGGAGGGCAGCATGGACTGTACTTTCAGGAGGGGGTTGGGTAGGCTCTGGCCCCTGACCAACCCCTCCCCCCACCTCTTCCCTTCTTCTCAGGGGGCTACACGACAGGGCCTGGGCCCCTGGTGTCCCTGCTGCGGCAGCGCGCCCGGCCATACCTCTTCTCCAACAGTCTGCCACCTGCTGTCGTTGGCTGCGCCTCCAAGGCCCTAGATCTGCTGATGGGGAGTAACACCATTGTCCAGTCTATGGCTGCCAAGACCCAGAGGTGCGACTCCCAGCAGGGCAGGCTCGGGGGCGGAGAGACGTGGTGAGAGCCAGCCTCATGTGTCTGCCCAGGCCCACAGACAGCTCTGTGCCCACCGGGTCTGCTTCTGCCTGTTCCCCTCCCTTCTCTCTGTCCCTGCCTCTCCCCTCTAGCTTCTGTGTCTCCTTCTTATCCCTCCTGTCTTTCCACCTCCCTTGTTGTTCTCCCTGCCCCCTGCCTGGCTCCCCTCTGCCTCTTAGAGCTTGTAACTGTCTTTGTTGATCCTTCTTGCAGACTTGGGCATAGACCTCGGGCCTGGTCCCTGCAAGGAGCGGGTGTGAATGCTCCACGGCCCCTTAGCTACCTGTGACACCTTGTGCCCACAGGTTCCGTAGTAAGATGGAAGCTGCTGGCTTCACTATCTCGGGAGCCAGTCACCCCATCTGCCCTGTGATGCTGGGTGATGCCCGGCTGGCCTCTCGCATGGCGGATGACATGCTGAAGAGAGGTAAGGGTGCTGAGACAAGGGAACTGGTGGTGGGTCCTGAGAGAAGAGAAAGGGAAACCCCTAGACTGTGACCCAGCCCCGTACCCAGCCACGCTGCGGCCTCTTAGGCCAGCTGTCTGTCTAAGCTTGAACACCCCAAGCCATGAGGCAGTCCCGAATCTGAGACCTGGGGCAGTTCCCTTGCCCTCTGTGTTCTGCCCCCAAGCCTGTTGGTTCTGGCACGCCCTTGCTTTCTACCCTCCCAGGCATCTTTGTCATCGGGTTCAGCTACCCCGTGGTCCCCAAGGGCAAGGCCCGGATCCGGGTACAGATCTCAGCAGTGCATAGCGAGGAAGACATTGACCGCTGCGTGGAGGCCTTCGTGGAAGTGGGGCGACTGCACGGGGCACTGCCCTGAGCTCTGGGTAAGGACGAGAAGAGCCAAGGTCCGCCTACTGCCACAGGGTCAAAGGAGGTTTTCGATCAGCCCAGACCAGAGGCTCTGAGCCCTGAACCAAAGTCCCAGAGCTGGGCTGGGACGTGACCTGTGCTGAGGGCTGTGAGAATGTGAAACAACAGTGTGAAAATTGGCTGTGACACTCTGGTCTGCTTTATTGTCTCTGGGCAGGCCCAGTCCTGTGGCCGGTTGAAGAATCAGGCAGGAGCCAGGGCTCTGAGGGGAGGCGCCTGAGGACTGCAGATCTCCACTGACCTCTTTCCCTAGATTAAGATGGGACCCAGTGGCCGGGCACGGTGGCTCAGGCCTGTAATCCCAGCACTTTGGGAGGCCAAGGTAGGCGGATCACCTGAGGTCGGGAGTTTGAGACCAGCCTGACCAACATGGAGAAACCCCGTCTCTACTAAAAATACGAAATTAGCCAGGCGTGGTGGCGTATGCCTGTAATCCCAGCTGCTCAGGAGGCTGAGGCAGGAGAATCGCTTGAACCCGGGAGGTGGAGGTTGCGGTGAGCCGAGATCATGCCATTGCACTCCAGCCTGAGCAACAAGAGCAGAAGTCTGTCTCAAAAAAAAAAAAAAAAAAAAGCTGGCACCCAGGCCTTTGGGAGATAGGCCCAGTCCACCGTTTGTCTCGGGTAGTTTCTGTGCTGCTGTGGAGGGCTGCTGAGAACTAGCCCCACAGGCCTTTTACCCTGCCACTGCCCGCTACTCTGCAGCCCCTGAGTCTAGTCTTAGAGTCTAGCTTCTTCCTTCTCCCCACTGGAAGATGTCCTGTAGCTGCCCAGATAGGAGGAGGCTGGGTGTCCATGTTTGGAAGGAGAGGCAGAGGATTCAGGCCCAAAAGAAAAGAATGAGGATCACCCCTGGGGAAGCTCCAGACAGTCTGGAACCCTGTGTTCGCGCCCACTCTCTCCCTGCCTTACTCTGGCTTTCGGCAAGCTCCAGTCCCTGTGTGTGCCTCAGTCCTCCTGCCACTATGCCTTGAGGTCTGAGGTCCTTCCATCTCGCTCATTCCAAGGCCTACGATGATCAGCCACCAGGGGGTGCTGCGAGCACGGGCCGCGGCCGCCGGCTCGCCCCGCCCCTCCAGACTGGGGGCCTTGGGCCGCGGCTGTTCAGGCTGCCCAGCAGTCAAGGCCAGGAGAGGCGATTTGCTGCTGCCAAGGCCCCATCCTCCCTTGTGCCCCACAACGGCTCGCCGCTTTCCTGTTGGAGGGGCCTGCGGGAGGAGGGCGGTCTCTCCCTGGCGACCTTGTGGACCCCTTGTGGGGTGGGGAGTGGGGTCCCCGCAGCTCCACCCTCAGCGTGGTGTGACCTTGGGAAGCTCTTAGTTTGCTTGGGACAGAGGACGAAAAGGCCCTTTATCATTAACGACATGAAACTAGCCCTACGTCTCTCTCTGACGTCCTGCACCTCCAGCCCACCCATTTGCCTGTTATCTTGGGATGAACAATGTAATATGAGCTGGGCTCTGGCCCAGCCCTGCAGGATCTGAAAGCTGGGATTCAGGGAATCCCAGCCTGCGATCCGGAGGACCTTGCTGCTGGGGTCCAGGAGCTGGGGGAGGGGGGGTGTGGGGGGTCGGTGTGAGGGTGGAAGGCAGCCTGGCTGGGGTAGCTGTGGCCACATTAGCGGCAGGAACATTTGCAGCCCACCACCACCGGCTAGGGCACGTGGCACCAGGCGCGCTGCTGCAGGGGATGTGCACAAGGGCTCAACCAGTAATGTCGAGCCAGCAGCTGGATGAGCATGGTCTGCTCTAGCCAGCAGCTCATGTTAAGCGCCACGGGCAGCTGCGGGGTGACGTGTGGCAGTCGGTGTGCTGCACCCGGCGGGGCCAGAACAGAGGGCCCAGGTCCACCCAGACCGACGTGAGGCGGCACGAGGCGAGATCCAGACAGCGGCGCAGAAAGTGCGTCGCCGCCCCTGTGGCTCCCAGGAGCCGCCGCTGGCGTTGCCCTGCTGCGCTGGCAGCGCCGCGACCCCCTGGGCTAGCCGATCGCGGTAGGGCTCCACGCCGTTGGCCAACCCGCGGCTCAGCGTGTCCTGCTGCACCAGCCCGGGTCCGCCGCCGCGCTTCTTCCGCAGTCATCCAGAAGGTGTCTGTAGGAGGCGCAGCAGCCGCTCTGGGTGCACGTGTTTCGGCTTGGGCGCCTACCGGTAGTCGCCGGCCGCCCACGACAAGCTGTAGGGCCACGCGGGGCGGGAGGGCCGGCCGTGGACCAGCTGCAAGTCTGCGTTCTGCAGAATCAGAGGCTCTGAGGACCGCCCCAAGGGCGCAATGTCCTTGTTCTCTGCGTCGCGCACGGGGTTCAGGGCCGCGGGCTACCAGAAGCGGCAGTAGGAGTGGATGGAGGTGGCACCGGGCGCACCCAAGGTCTAGGCTCACGGCCGCGCTCTTTATGGCCGCCTGTTCCTTCCTCCTTCCCTCCACCTCCGCTCTCATATCAGCTTAGCCTTGCCGCTGCTGGGAGCTCATCGCCCTAGGCCAAGAAGGACCTTGTGGGCAGGGGGCTCCCAAGGGCCAGGAGTGCGAAGTCATGAATCTCAGATGCTTTCCAGCCCGTTCCAGGGTTCAGGCATGCACATTCGTCCAGGCTTCTGGGAGTCTAAGGGTGCGTTACTTTCACGCAGTGGTTGCAGGTCTGTCAAAGTTTCTAAAATCCCACCAAGCTGAGTCTCGCCATTCAGGGATCATAAGAGTCTACAATTCCTTTGCGCAATTCAATTCTGAATTCAATTCAGAATTAATTCAATTCTGGCCGGGCGCGGTGGCTCATGCCTGTAATCCCAGCACTTTGGGAGGCCGAGGCGGGCGGATCACGAGGTCAGGAGATCGAGACCATCCTGGCTAAAACGGTGAAACCCCGTCTCTACTAAAAATACAAAAACAAAACATTAGCCGGGTGTGGTGGGCGCCTGTAGTCCCAACTACTCGGGAGGCTGAGGTGGGAGAATGGCGTGAACCTGGGAGGCGGAGCTTGCACTTGCAGTGAGCTGAGATCGCACCACTGTACTCCAGCCTGGGCAACAGAGCGAGACTGTCTCAAAAATATATATATATATTAATTCAATTCTGAAGCTTCTGAATTCAGGTTTGGCAAGTCTAGATTAGATTCCTAATAGTTTCAATTCCGTGAGACTCTGCTTCCAAAAATTGAGGAATTTCTGCATCTAAAGAAGGTGACATCAGGCTCTATAGAGGCACCTCTGAGCCCTCGTGAAAACCCCGGGGCCTTTGAGGAGCTGGTTCTTTTCTTTTCTTTTTTTTTTTTTTTGAGTCTTGCTCTGTTGCCCAGGCTGGAGTGCAGTGGCACAGTCTCCGCTCACTGCAACCTCCGCCTCCCGGGCTCAAGCCATTCTCCTGCCTCGGTCTCCCAAGTAGCTGGGATTACAGGTGTGCACCACCATACCTGGCTAATTTTTAGTAGAGATGGGTTTCACCATGTTGGCCAGGCTGGTCTTGAACTCCTGACCTCAAGTGATCCAACTGCCTTGGCCTCCCAAAGTGCTAGGATTACAGACATGAGCCACCACGCCTGGCCTTAAGGAGCTAGTTCTGAGCATCTACCCCAGCTCCTCCGGCCTGGGATGCGAGTCCTGGCTCCATCAGCGCCCCTCACACTGTTTTCTCTCCCCTTACGCACTTCCCCTTGATGCTCCCCAACCCCAGCCCCAGCTTCTAAAAACACTACACTCAGCCCCTCCACCTCTCCCCTCCCTTCCTTAACTCACTGCAGACTGCCTTTTGCCCTCAAAACACCTGTCCAGTTTACCAGCAGCCTCCTCATTGCTGAATCCAGTGTACCTTGCTCCCCAGGTGCTAGCCTCCCTAACCCTCTGGAGGCATTTGGCCATGTGGCCCCTCCTCCACACAGTTCAGGACAGAACTCCATGACCAAATCACACAGCCGTTCACCAAGACCTATTCTCCTCTTTGGCTCTTGCCTAGACGAGAGGCTCCTAACAGGTCACTCATCAAATCTCTCCCACTCTGTCCATCCTTTTCACCCCGGGCAATAATAGACTTTTTTTTTTTTTTTTTTTTGAGACAGAGTCGCTCTGTTGCCCAGTCTGGAGTGCGAGCGATCTCGGCTCACTGCAACCACCACCTCCCAGGTTCAAGCGATTCTCGTGCCTCAGCCTCCTGAGTAGCTGGGATTATAGGTGTGAGCCACCATGCCCAGCTAATTTTTGTATTTTTAGTAGAGGCAGGGTTTTGCCATGTTGGCCAGTCTGGTCTCGAACTCTTGACCTCAGATGATCCGCCCACCTCAGCCTCCCAAAGTGCTAGGATTACAGGTGTGAGCCGCTGCGCCTGGCCCATAACAAACTTTTTACAAAAGATAATGTGGGGGGAAAAAAAGAAAGAAAGAAAGAAAATGTGCGGGTCATGTCTCTGCTGTAGAATCTTAGTAGTTCCCCGTTGCTATCAGGTAAAGCCAGACTTTTTGGACAGGTACCTAAACCATCTGGGCTCCAGCTGGACTAAGGCTCTGGAAAGAGCTTCCGGAGAAGGATCTCAGGATTTGCAGAGCCTGAGGGAGGAGTCTCTGGAGTCTGCCGAAAGGAGACTCAAGTCCTGGTTTCCCACTCCAGGAAACCCCAGTCAAGACTAGGAATCCTTTTTTTTTTTTTTTTTTTTTTTTTTTTTGAGACGGAATCTCGCTCTGTCGCCCAGGCTGGAGTGCAGTGGCACGATCTTGGCTCACTGCAACCTCCAACCCCTGGCTTCAAGCAATTCTCTGCCTCAGCCTCCCGAGCAGCTGGGATTACAGGTGCCCGCCACCACACCCAGCTAATTTTTGTATTTTTAGTAGACATGGGGTTTCATCATCTTGGCCAGGCTGGTCTTGAACTCCTGACCTCATGATCCACCTGTCTTGGCCTCCCAAAGTGCTGGGATTACAGGCATGAGCCACCGCGCCCAGCCTCTTCTTTTTTTTTTTTTTTTTTTTTTTGAGACAATGTCTCACTCCATCACCTGGGCTGGAGTGCAGTGGCGTCATCTCGGCTCATTGCAACCTCCACCTCCCAGGTTCAAGCGATTCTCCTGCCTCAGCCTCCAGAGTAGCTGGGATTACAGGCGCCCGCCACGACGCTCAGTTAATTTTTGTATTTTTAGTAGAGACAAGGTTTCGCCACATTGGCCAGGCTGGTCTCGAATTCCTGGCCTCAAGTGATCTGCCTGCCTCAGCCTCCCAAAGTGCTGGGATTACAGACGTGAGCCACCATGCCCGGCCTAGGAACCTTTTCTAAACATGGATTGGAGCAAGAAGGTGCAGGGATAGGGGATGGAGTCACATCAGGCTGGGCCACAGGAGGTGGGAGTGCCAGAGACTGGCTGGGCCCTGGGCACAGAGGGGTTAACTACAAAGCAAATCACAGAGAGCGAGATCAATGGGTTACTGGCTGCAGAGAGAGGAAAAGGCAGCAGCAACGCAGAGAGGCAGAGAAGAGCCAGGCAGAAGAGCCTGCCACCTGGGGGAAATCAGGGACTGAGGAGGAAGTGGCCAGTGGCTACTCCAGAGGGAGTGCCCAACTCCGGCTCAGCAGAGGGGGCAGAGGAGAGGAGGGGCCTTAAAGGCAAAGGGGGAGAAGTAGAAGGCAGACCAGTACCTGCAGGGAGGCACCAAGGGGCAGCCGCTGAATCAGGAGGCCCACCCAGCCCGGCCATTCCACCCAGGATCAAGCCCACTGCCCAAGGCGGAGGTGGGTGTTGCCCATCCTGGGCTTTGGGGACCTACTGCATGCTGGGTGCTGGGATGGGGGCAGACATTGCCTTTCTTCCCTACTCCCTGCCTGACCCCCCTTTCCCCTACTTTGTCCCACCACCCCAGTGGTCTCAAGCCTGCAAGGAGATCCACAGGCAGTAGGAGACATGGGCTGTAGAGTGGGATGGGGGTGAGCATGGGTGCGGTGTGCACACACACAAGTTGTCAGAGGCACCACCTGTTACAAGCTCTCAGATGAGCACTCTAGCTTAAGAGGCAGGATACCAGGGTGGCAACAGCCCCAGAGCTGCCATTTCGAGTGTGATATTATCCTCCCATGTCCCCTCTCTGGGCCTCAATTTCCCTATGTGCAGAGAGGAAGCAGTGACCTACACGGTCTTCCCAGTTTTGCCATTGTGATGATCTCACTATACTGGACCCTCCAATGACTCAGGGATGTTACCCGTGTTTTGCTAAGGCTACAGCTTGTAGCCAGAGAAAGCCCTAAACCCATGTCCCAGGGTCTCCCCTGAGCTTCAGATCCCCATTGAGAAGGAAAACATACCAGTTTCTGGGTTTGGCCCCTCCCCCCATCGCCATATCTTCATCCTACTTCGCTTGTGCCTTCCCCAGCCTCGTGGGTTGAAAGTGTCCCTCAAATACCTAGGTAGTCCTCCAGGCAGGACTCCAGGGGTGTTCCTTAGGAAACTGAGGAACTCTCACCCCTTGAACACCACGAGCTTGCTCACACAGTGACACTCAGCGATGACTTTGGCTCTGCTCTCCCCTCCTCCATCTCCCACGAGCTTCCAGCCCAGAACACCTGGCCAGACCCAGGTCGGGGGAGTTAGATCCCGGGGTCAAGCAACCAGAACTGGGGGCTCTTGCCTGAGGATTCCAGCTTCTCTTCCCAGGTGCCCGTCTGATGGGGAGATGGCTGATGCCCAGAACATTTCACTGGACAGCCCAGGGAGTGTGGGGGCCGTGGCAGTGCCTGTGGTCTTTGCCCTAATCTTCCTGCTGGGCACAGTGGGCAATGGGCTGGTGCTGGCAGTGCTCCTGCAGCCTGGCCCGAGTGCCTGGCAGGAGCCTGGCAGCACCACGGACCTGTTCATCCTCAACCTGGCGGTGGCTGACCTCTGCTTCATCCTGTGCTGCGTGCCCTTCCAGGCCACCATCTACACGCTGGATGCCTGGCTCTTTGGGGCCCTCGTCTGCAAGGCCGTGCACCTGCTCATCTACCTCACCATGTACGCCAGCAGCTTTACGCTGGCTGCTGTCTCCGTGGACAGGTGCGCTGTGCCTGGGGCCTGGCTGGGCAGGGCTGTGGGGGCGGGGGTTGGGGGAGGAGTCCTGAACAGATCCTCACTGGCCTTAGGAAGGAGAGAGTGGGGGACCAGAAAGGGAGGTGGGTGGGAGGAAACAAAAGCTCCCTGACCCCTCGCAAGCAGCCTCTGGGCACCTGCAGGGCGTGCTTGAGGGGACTGTCCTGCCCTTCCCCTCCTCCACTGTGAACTTCCAGAGGACGCCTCTGAGTCTCAAGTGGCAGCACAGGGTCTGGCACATAGTAAGTGCTCTGTAAGCGCGAAATGAATCGCAAAAGAAGCTCACGAATGCGTTCATCAGTTTTTTTGTTTTGTTTTGTTTTGTTGTTTTTTTTTTTTGGATCTTGGCTCACTGCAACCTCTGCCTCCTGGGTTCCAGCGATTCTCCTGCCACAGCCTCCTGAGTAGCTGGGATTACAGGCCACCACACCTGGCTAATTTTTTGTATTTTTAGTAGAAACGGGGTTTTGCCATGTTGGACAGGCTGGTCTCGAACCCCTGACCTCAAGTGATCCGCCCGCCTCGGCCTCCCAAGTGCTGGGATTACAGGCGTGAGCCACCGCGCCCAGCCCAGCTATTTTCTAACTGCCCACACCTGGCCAAGCTGTGCACACATCTGCTTCCACAGCTTGAAACTTGGGGTCAAATCCAGGCTCACTCCAGCTGATGACCCTGGGCAAGTCACTTCTCTCTGGACCTCATCTGACGCATCCATAAAATAATCCTAGAAATAACAAGTCACCGGGATCGGGCCCTTGCTAGGTGCAAGGGCCTAAGCACCTTGCGCGTTCACACCCTTAATCCCCGCCACGTCCCCCACGGTTCACAGGAGGCGCACTGGGCCGCAGGGCCCGGGCGCGGGACGTGGCGCGGGCCCCTGCGGGAGGGCACCTGCCCGCCCCGCTGACCAGGCGCCCTCCGCAGGTACCTGGCCGTGCGGCACCCGCTGCGCTCGCGCGCCCTGCGCACGCCGCGTAACGCCCGCGCCGCAGTGGGGCTGGTGTGGCTGCTGGCGGCGCTCTTCTCGGCGCCCTACCTCAGCTACTACGGCACCGTGCGCTACGGCGCGCTGGAGCTCTGCGTGCCCGCCTGGGAGGACGCGCGCCGCCGCGCCCTGGACGTGGCCACCTTCGCTGCCGGCTACCTGCTGCCCGTGGCTGTGGTGAGCCTGGCCTACGGGCGCACGCTGCGCTTCCTGTGGGCCGCCGTGGGTCCCGCGGGCGCGGCGGCGGCCGAGGCGCGGCGGAGGGCGACGGGCCGCGCGGGGCGCGCCATGCTGGCGGTGGCCGCGCTCTACGCGCTCTGCTGGGGTCCGCACCACGCGCTCATCCTGTGCTTCTGGTACGGCCGCTTCGCCTTCAGCCCGGCCACCTACGCCTGCCGCCTGGCCTCACACTGCCTGGCCTACGCCAACTCCTGCCTCAACCCGCTCGTCTACGCGCTCGCCTCGCGCCACTTCCGCGCGCGCTTCCGCCGCCTGTGGCCGTGCGGCCGCCGACGCCGCCACCGTGCCCGCCGCGCCTTGCGTCGCGTCCGCCCCGCGTCCTCGGGCCCACCCGGCTGCCCCGGAGACGCCCGGCCTAGCGGGAGGCTGCTGGCTGGTGGCGGCCAGGGCCCGGAGCCCAGGGAGGGACCCGTCCACGGCGGAGAGGCTGCCCGAGGACCGGAATAAACCCTGCCGCCTGGACTCCGCCTGTGTCCGTCTGTCTCACTCCCGTTCTCCGAAGGCGGGACGCCACCGGGCCAGGGATGGGGCAATGCCACGAGCTCTCTGAGGGGCGTTGAGTGGAGCGACTTGTCCCCGCTCCACAGCGGAGCACCAGCCCAGTGGACACCCCTGGGTGTGAATATGAACAGCACAGCCCGCCCCCAGCAGGGCAGCCCCCAGAGCCTGCCCAGAGCCAGCCTGGCAGTCCCTCTGCCCATTCTTCCAACTGGGTGACACCTAGGCCCTGCTTCCTCCACCACCTCTTAACTATCTCCTTCTTGGTTCCAAGCTCAGTCCTAGGTAATTTAACATCAACAGCTAATAAATGGCTAATATTTAAGTGGGACCAGGCGCTTGGCTCATGCCTGTAATCTCAGCGTTTTGGGAGGTCGAGGCGGGAGGATCGCTTGAGGCAGCAGTTCAAGGCTGCAGTGAGCCATGATCACGCTACTGCATTCCAGCCTAGACAGCAAAGCAAGACCTTGTCTCTAAAAACATTTATTAAGCAGGTACCATATGCCTCATGCTACATTCTTTGTCAAAACAGCTTTGCAAATAGATATGATTAACCTTTCCTTTTTTTTTTTTTTTTTTTTTGTCTTTTAGAGACAGAGTTTTGTCTCCCAGGTTGGACTACAGTGGCGCCATCTCGGCTCACTGCAACCTCCGTCCCCCGGGTTCAAGCAATTCTCCTGCCTCAGCCTCCAGAGTAGCTGGGATTACAGGCGCCCACCACCACATCCGACTAATTTTTTTTTTTAATAGAGATGGGGTTTCACCATTTTGGACAGGCTGGTCTTGAACTCCTGACCGCAGATGATCCGTCCGCCTCGGCCTCCCAAAGTGCTGGGATAACAGGCGTGAACCACTGTGCCCGGCTGTTTAGCCCCATTTTACAGATGTAGAAATCAAGGATCATAGAGATTTAGTGATTTGCCACACCGCTGGTGTTTGGCAGAGGTTGGATACAAACCCATGGCTGTGTAACTTTTTCTTTTTTTTTCTATTATTATTATTATTATTATTTTTGAGAGAGAGAGAGAGATTGTTATCCAGGCTGCAGTGCAGTGGCACAATCTTGGCTCAAGACAACCTCCGCCTCCCAGGTTCAAGCGATTCTCCTGCCTCAGCCTCCCGACTAGCTGCAACTATAGGCGTATGCCACCACACCCGGCTAATTTTTGTATTTTTTTATTATTTTTATTTTTTGGTAGAGATGGGGTTTCACCGTGTTGGCCAGGCTGGTCTTGAACTCCTGACCTCAAGCGATCCGCCGGCATTGGCCTCCCAAAGTGCTGGGATTACAGGCGTGAGCCACCGCGCCCGGCCCAGAGGTAACATTTGACATGTATTTTCTTGGACAAAGGTGGGGAGGGGCATGCCAGGTAGAGCAACAGCCTGTGCAAGGCAGGGGACGTGCAGGGCAGTAAGTGGCTCCTGCAGCTGAGGCAGGGAGAGATTGGGGCAGGGGAGGCCTGGAGGGCAGGAGCTTCATCCTTCAGGCAGATGGTGATGCCACTGAAGGTTTTCAGGAGAGGAGGGGGCCTATCAGATGTGCAGTTCAGAAAGCTCCCAGGGCTGCTGTGTACAAGCTGGAATGGAGGCCTAGACTTGGCAGAGGACTCCGATCAGGTGGGTTCTCCTGGGCCCTTCTTGGAAGTGAGGAGACTGGTAAAGAGTCTGCTCCGTGAGCTCTGTTGAGGAAAGCCAACGAGGCCTGGCCTAGGACTGGGAAGATATTTTTGCCGTGGACTTGGCAGGAAGATGGATGGCCTGCTGCCAGGCTTGGGCTTGGTTCCCGAGGCTCCGAGGTTTGCTTCAGGGGGCTAATGAAACACTTGGAAGAGCAGATGGTCGTAATAATAATAACTCAGGAGAGAATTGTGTGTCCAGTAGAGCCCAAGGCAGGCAAGAGGGTCGGAGCGGAGGCTGAATTGAGTCCTGGCCACTGCTCCCCAGGGCCTGAGAGAACCCTCCTGATCTGAGCCCTCTGTCAAGTGTAGGGCTGAGCCTGGGGCAGCCCTGGGGACCTGGAAAGGCACTTTTCTTAGTTGGAAGGAGGTTTGGATTCTACAACCTTCTTACCTTCCTGTTTGTGCAAACCTCTTAAGAAGAGGCCTGGCCGGATCACGAGGTCAGGAGATCGAGACCATCCTGGCTAACACAGTGAAACACCATATCTACTAAAAATACAAAAAATTAGCTGGGCGTGGTGGCAGGTGCCTGTAGTCCCAGCTACTCGGGAGGCTGAGACAGGAAAATGGCGTGAACCCGGGAGACAGAGCTTCCAGTGAGCCGAGATCACGCCACTGCACTCCAGCCTGGGGGACAGAGCGAGACTCCGTCTCAAAAAAAAAAAAAAATTACTCTTTAGGGGGCCTGGCGCAGTAGCTCACGCCTGTAATCCTAGCACTTTGGGAGGCTGAGACGGGTGGATACTAGGTCAGGAGTTCAAGACCAGCTTGGCCAAGATGCTGAAACCCCATCTCTACTAAAAATACAAAAAAAAAATTGGTCGGCCTTGGTGGTACACACCTGTAATCCCAGCTACTCGGGAGGCTGAGGCAGGAGAATCGCTTGAACCCAGGCAGCAGAGGTTGCAGTGAGCCAAGATCGCGCCACTGCACTCCAGCCTGGGTGACAGAGCAAGACTCTGTCTCAAAAAAGAAAAAAAAGATTTACTCTTTAGGGAGCTCTTTCTGGCTGCCCAGGCAGGCTTTCATAGGGAGGAAGTACAGAGTGTGCTGACTGGAGCAGAGAGGTCAGTCAGGAGGCTCGTGTGAGAATCCAGAGAGAAAGACATAGAGGTATTGGAAGTGGTGGGGAGACATGGACAGATGGGTCAGCCACTTAGGAGGTACAATTGCTAGGACTTGGTGACTGTTGGAGGGTAAGGAGGAGAGACGTGTCCCAGATGACACCCCAGACTTCTGGCTTGGGCTATTTGGGGGTGGCAGTGGGGATAACTGAGGGGGACAGTTTTGGTGGTCATGGTGGGGGTGCCCGCAGAATAGCGGTGTACTCTGAGTACGTGCCACGTTTCACAACCACTGTTTGCAGGTGGGCAAGGGCAGGGAGCTTGTCCTTTCATTCCCTGCTGTCCTCCCACCTAGAACACTGCCTAGCACATAGCAAGCACTAAGTCAATAAGTCAATATTTATTTTTATTTTTATTTTTATTTTTTGAGATGGAGTCTCACTCTTTTGCCCGGGCTGGGGTGAAGTGGCTGAATCTTGGCTCACTGCAACCTCCACCTCCTGGGTTCAAGTGATTCTCCGGCCTCAGCCTCCCAAGTAGCTGGGATTACAGGTGGGCGCCACCACGTCTGGCTAATTTTTGTATTTTTGGTAGAGATGGGGTTTCGTCGTGTTGGCCAGGCTGGTCTTGAACTCCTGACCTCAGGTGATCCACCTGCCTTGGCCTCCCAAAGTGTTAGGATTACACGTGTGAGCCACTGCGCCTAGCCCAATATTTCTAACATGAAAGAAACACGAAGTATAAGGCAAAGGATCTTAACCCGCAAGGTGAAATCACCAAATGTTTCTTCTTCCTGCCATCTTCTAAGCCTTCCTCCGCACCTCCCCGACTCTTCAGTAATTCGCAGAGCAGCCAGCAACCAGCAAAACTCACCCCTGTGAGTACAACCTCAGCTGAGCTCTCTTTCCTGCCCTGGCCCATGGCCAGCTCAGGGACCACTGAGCTCTCTATCCTGCCCAGTCCAGCCAGCTCAGGGACCACTGAGCTCTCTATCCTGCCCAGTCCAGCCAGCTCAGGGACCACTTGGGTGTTTTGTGACTCACTCCAGTGTCTGAGGCCGACTTCATCTGGCTGGCTCTTCAGACACAATTGGGGTTACAGGAAATATCCTGGCTGGAAATGGGGTGAGGCAGATTGGCTGTCTACATGGCTGTCTGGCAAGTGTTTGATGACTGACCTATAAGCCACCTTCAGTCAAGCCTTTGGTTCACTGTCTACATGGCCAGGGAGGGAGTCAACAATAGACACTCCACCTCCGCAACGGCCAGTTCTCCTGGATCCATGGCTCCAGGGATGGAGGATGCTGCAGGAGACACAGGCCTTGCTTCCCAGCTAAGGACTGTGGGTCATCTCAGGGCGATTTCACAGTCCCAGCATGCCCCAGCTCTCAGCTCTGCAAATACCAAGCAGCCTGCCTAGGGGACAGTGGGCTCAGGAGTGCCCTTGGCAGGTCCTCACCTATCTGCTCCCACAGCTCTGTAGCAAGGGTTCTAACCTTTTTTGAGTGTGAAGCCTGCTGAGAATGAGAATGAGAGCTGTGGACCTGTTTCCCAGAAACGCATGTGTGTACTCTCCACACAAAACCTTGCACCGTTTCGGGGGCTCACACCTCCCTAAGGGCTCGCTAATTGAACCCCTTGGGCCTGAGGTTGAGAAACCTTGCCTCAATTCTTCCCCAGGTGATCAGGCCAGGGTGAGAGAGGACAGACCTGGCAAGCAGGACCCATGAGAAAGCCCCCTTCCTGGACTTTGAGGCCCGCTCCCTCCTGCCCCTGCCTCCCCTCTGCCCTGGACTCCTCTCTGCTCTGCCCCATTCCCAGGGCCATGGCCATGGGGGGGCTGTGTTTGGATACAATGGCAACCCTGGGCCCAGAAAGTGGGCAGGCTCACCTGGAGGGGATCAGAGTAACATGGCAGGAAGCGAGTGAAAAGCTACCCCAGAACCGCACCTCTGCTCTCCATGTGACTGGGGTGCCATCCTCCCTTACCTACCTCAGGCAGTGGCCTGAGTTCCACGGGCGCGCCCCACAGCTCCCTCTGCCGCCTCTCTTCAGGCTTGGGGCCACTGCACTTTCCCTTCCCCAGCCCTGCCAACCTGGTGGGGCACTGGGCTTCCCTCTCACAGGGTCCTGGGGACAGGCCTACCCTACATCTCATACCCACAGACAGACCCTTTTTTCCTCCAAGGCCTGGCCTAGGTTCTATGAGTTCAATGCAGATCTGAGCCATACCAAGCTGGGTTTGGGGAACACACTCTCCTCCTCTGAAAGGTAGACAGGGATTCCAACTTGGTGAAGGGGAGAGTAGGGCAGAGCCAGGCGGGACACGGACTGATCACCTGGAGAAAGTCACCATCAGCAGCCTTGGGGCAGGGGCGGGCCCAGCAGTGCCATCCCCTGGGTTTTCCCTGAGCAGGCCTCCGCTAGGAGCGCACGCTTCCTTCTGCCTGTCCATGGCCCACAGCAAAGGACTGGTGCTCCTGCAGCGGGGAGCGGGGCTGCTGACAGGACTGAACCTCAAGGTGAGTTTTTGGGGCTTCACTACAATACTAGTTTCTGGTTGCTGCTGCAATAAATTACCACACACTTAGTGACTTAAAACAACACAAATTTATTCCCTTAGAGTTCTAAAATCAGCCAGAATTATAAAATTAGCCTCACTGAGCCAGTCCAGGTGGGAGCAGGGCTGGGGCCTTCCAGGGCTCTGTGGGAGGATGCATTTCCTGGCTCTGAGGTGGCCTGGACTCTGTGGCTTGAGCTGCCCTCCTCAACTCCAGTTTCCTGCTCCATCGCTACACCTCCAACCTCCTCTCCCGTCACCTGCTCTTCTGTTATACAGACCCGGGTGAGGACATCAAGCCCTCCTGAACAAGCTGGGATAATCTTCCTGGCGAAAGATCCTTAACTTCATTACATCTGCAAAGCCCCTTTGGCCATACAAGGTAATTTTGACAGGTTCCTGGGATTAGGACATGGGCATCTTGGGAGGCCACTACTGGCCTACCACAACTGGGCAGCAAAACTATTACACCCTCCGGTATAATAGTTTTGGTGTTTCAATGACTGGGAGGAAAAGGGTTGGAATTTTTTGCTTTGGGGTCCCTCTTAACCTTGTATTTTTAAGGTCTGGGACTCACCAACCCTCCCCTTCCAACCAGAGAAACTCACTGCAGTATCTCCTTGAAAGTCTGGTGACGTGTCTGTCTAAGTGCTGGTGAGAGGCACAGGACCAACTGAGGGCCTCACGCAGTACCCCTGGCCACAGGGTGCCCGCCTAAGCCCACACCTGCTGACTGCAACAAGCCCATGGCCAGGACGGAACACAGAGAAGGGTCTGAGGCCTGGAGCGCGCCATGAAGGCCATGGGGCAAGTGAGGTCTGCTGAGATAGCGCAGGTCTGCGGAGCTGAAGTGCAGCTGCAGAGGCTGGTCTGGTGCTGCGAGAACTGGAAGAAGCTGGGAGCTGTGGTCCCTGTCCACAGAGATGCTGGAAACTGTGGCTGGGAGTGGCTCTGAGGCCGTGGAGAGAGAGCATCTCTGCCCCACGGCATCTGCGGGTGAGGGCAAGGTCCTCACCAGACAAGTGCAGCTCCAAGTCCCAGATGTTGGGCTTTTTCTTGGTACTGAGACAGCAGTGGGGCAGGGTGGGGCAGTGGCAGGAAGGCAGGGAGCCTCTCTTGCTACCTCTTCTCCATGCTCTGCATCTGCAGACTGAGGGAGGTGAAGCTGGCCAGGAGGTCAGTCACTTCATCCACCTGCAGGACGGAACAGAGGCTCTGTTATGGGACACGGGGTGTGCCAGGGCTCCTGGGTCTCTTCCACAATCCCACAGGCACAGAACACAGGCACGGTCTCTCCTCCCAGGGCGTGTGGTGGCTTCTGACTACGCAGCAGTTGACCAAGGGTCAATCTTTGACACCAGGTGGCCTAGCGCTGTCCTAGAGGGCAGGGCCATGAACACACACTAGCCACTGGCAACTTCAAAGGAAGTGAACGGAGGCTTTGAAGCCTGCAACCCCACAATCATAGGCTCTTTCCCCCACTTTTTTTGTTTGAGACAGGGCCTTGCTCTGGTTTTTTTTTTTGTTGTTTTTATAATTTTTGCCTTTTTCCACATGTTCTGAGAGGACCTTGCTTTGTCACTCAGGCTGGAGTTCAGTGGCAATCACAGCTCACTGCAGCCTCGAACTCCTAGCCTCAAGTGATCCTCCCACTTCAGCCTCCCATAGCGTTGGGATTACAGGTGTGAGCCCCTGCGGCTGGCCCCAGCCCACAGCCTCTTTCTGATACGAGTGTCTGGTGGCATCGGAGCAGGGTGGACTGGCCCTGAGGCTCCTGCCAGGCCCTGGGTCTGGGCCTGTGGCTGCAGCTCACCTGCTCTTTGGTACTGGTCATCTGCAGGCGGGTGCAGAGGTCATCCAGGCGTTCTCGCTGCTCATGTTGCCCTAGGCGCTCCAGATACTCCCTCAGCATATGGATGATCTGGAACAAGAGGGTGAGCTGAGCTGCCTGGGTTCCTAGGGAGGCAGACAGGCTGATGCTGCTTCCAAAAAGCACAGTGGAGCAGGTGCCAACTGGGGTCAGTGTGAAACAACCCAGGAGCCCTGGGACCAGAGGCAGGTGTGTCTGTGGTTAGGGCAGCATCTGTCCAGTGCTGCCTTGGTGCCGTGGTCTCCACACAGAAGGGGTACTCACCTGCTTCACCTCCAGACGCACAGCCTCTAGGCACTGGGCATGGCCCTCCTGCAGGATATTCAGCTTTGACTTGGCCAGGTGCAGGGGTGTGCGACCAGCTCGGTCCAGGGCATCTACACGGGCCCCTGCAGGTACCAGCTGAGGTGAGCATTCTGGGGGTGAGGGGGAGAAAGAGGACAGAGAGGGGAAGAAACCACATACCTCCTCGTAGCAGTGTGGTGATGACAGGAACGTGGTTGGTGCAGGCCGCTGAGGAAGAACAACAGAGACTTAAGAATCCAGGACCACCAGAGCCTGGCTCTGCGTGGCCACTGGAGGGAGCAGGGCTGTGTCTCCCAGACGCCTGTGCCAAGTTATGCCTACTGAGAAGGTATCGCCAAGGCACAGCTAGGTAGGACTCAGAAGTCAAGTTCAACTCCCTCCCTGTACAGCAGAGGAAACTGAGGCCTGGAGATAGGATCTGCCTCAGTGTGAGCCACAGTGCTGAGTGCTGCTGGGCTAGCCTAGGTTGCTAAATTGGCTCTGCCGAGGGCACAGCCAACTGCTAAATGATTGGAAGGCCCATGGGACACAGGCTGCTGGGCAGTGCAGCCCTGGGAGTGCAGGCCTAGGATCTTCCCTGACACTCACAGTTTCTGCCAGGAGCATGCCGGGCCCCACCCTCTTCATCTAAAGAGCCTTTCTTTGCTGCAAATGAGTTGTCTTAGTGACTTCTGACATGCTTACCCAGGTGCAGTGGCGTGTTCCCCAGCCCATCTCGCTGGTTAGGATCAGCACCATGGTCCAGGAGCAGCTGCACTGGAAACAGGCAAACCCAAGAGGAGTTGTCGGAGGCTTCCATTGCCTGCACCCTGAACCCCTAACCTAGCTAGAGAGGCTGGCTCAGAGTAGGGGACACGGAATGCAAGCATGGATGGCTGTGTTACTTCATTCATTCACTCACTCACTCACTTACTTACCAGAGTTCATGGGCAAAGCCCTGAGGGCCAGGAACTGAGGATTTGGGGAGGGCCTCTTGGCCTATGCAGGTGTAGGAATGAGATTTGAAGGGTTAAGTAAAGTTCTTCCAATAGCAGCTGCTCCTGGTGAAGGCTGTCCAGGGCATTTTCTGCTTCTCCCACAGCCAAGCACCATGGTAGGAATTAAGTCAATAAATGATGCTGAGCTCCATGGATAACCTCTCCCTCCTGGCAGTCTTGGGATCACCTCAGGGGTGTGCTGTATTATCACCAGGGTCTGCCAATACCCAGAAGGATGCATAGGCAGGTAGCCTGGATCCCAGACATCATACAGGGAGGTCAGGCTGAGCCTCACACCATGTACAAAAACTAATTCAAGAGGGACCATAGACATAAGTGTGAATGCTAAAACAGGCTTCCAGAAGAACATGAACATCTTGGGCAGGCAAAGATTTCTTAAATAGGTCACAAAAATACTAACCATAGGAAAGAAAAGGCCAGGCATGGGAGCTCAGGCCTGTTAATCCCAGCACTTTGGGATGCCGAGGCAGGTGGATCATTTGAGCTCAGGAGTTCAAGACCAGCCTGGGCAACATGGAGAAACCCTTTCTCTATACTAAAAACACAAAAATTAGCTGGGCATAGTGATGGCAGACTTGTAGTCCCAGCTACTTGAGAGGCTGAGGTGGCAGGGCGGCTTGAGCCCAGAAGGTCGAGGTTGCAGTCAGCCGAGATGGTGCCAGTGCACTCCAGCCTAGGCAACAGAGACAGACCCTGTCTCAAAAAAAAAAAAAAAAAAAAAAAAAAAAAAAGAGAAAGGAAAGAAATATTGATAAATTGGATTCATTAAAATTAAGAACATGGCTGGGCACGGTGGCTCATGCCTGTAATCCCAGCACTTTGGGAGGCCAAGGCAGCCAGATCATCTGAGGTCAGGAGTTCAAGACCAGGCTGTTCAACATGTTGAAACTGTCTGTACTAAAAACACAAAAATTAGCTGGGTGTGGTGGCATACCCCTGTAGTCTCAGCTACTTGGGAGGCTGAGGCAGGAGAATTGCTGGAACCTAGGAGGTGGAGGTTCCAGGGAGCCAAGATCATGCCACTGAACTCCAGCCTGGGTGACAGAGCGAGACTCTGTCTCCAAAAAATAAAAAATAAAATAGGCCAGGGCACAGGAGCTCACGCCTGTAATCCCAGCACTTTGGGAGGCCAAGGCGGGTGGATCATCGGAGGTCAGGAGTTCGAGACCAGCCTGACCAACATGGTGAAATCCCATCTCTACTAAAAATAAAAAATTAGGTGGGTGTGGTGACACGCATCTGTAATCCCAGCTACTCAGGAGGCTGAGGTGGGAGAATAGCTTGAACCTGGGGAGCAGAGCTTGCAGTGAGCCAAGATCACACCACTGCACTCCAGCCTAGGCAACAGAGTGAGACTCTGTCTCAAATAAATAAATAAATAAATAAAAATAAAATTAGGAACTTGTGTTCATCAAAGTATACCACTCAGAAAATGAAACAGCAAGCTCAGAAAATCAAGTCATTTATATTTGATAAATGATTTCTAACCAGAATATACAAAGAATTCTTACAAATCAATAAGAAAAAGGCCAGGCGCAGTGGCTCATGCTTGTAATCCCAATACTTTGGGAGGCCAAGGTGACAGGATCGCCTGAGCCCAAGAGTTAGAGAACAGCTGGGTAACATAGCAGGACCACGTCTCTACAAGATGTTTTAAAATTAGCTGGGCTTGGTGGTGTGCACCTGTCGTCCCAGCTACTTGGGAGGCTGAGGCAGGAGGATTGCTTGAGCCTAGGAGATTGAGGCTGCAGTGGGCAGTGATCAGGCCACTGCACGTAAGCCTGGATGACAGAGTGAGACTTTGTCTCAAAAAAAGAAAAAGACAGAAAACTAGTTTTTTTTGTTTGTTTGTTTGTTTTTGAGACAGAGTCTTGCTTTCTCTCCCAGTCTGGAGTGCAGTCACGCGATCTCGGCTCACTGTAAGCTCCGCCTCCCGGCTTCACACCATTCTCCTGCCTCAGCGAGTAGCTGGAACTACAGGCACCCGCCACCACACCCGGCTAAGTTTTTGTATATTTAGTAGAGATGGGGTTTCACCGTGTTAGCCAGGATGGTCTCGATCTCCTGACCTCATGATCCACCCGCCTCGGCCTCCCAAAGTGCTGGGATTACAGGCGTGAGATACCGCGCCCAGGCAAAACTTGTTTTTAAAAAAATGGACAAAAGAGGCCAGGTGCGGTGGCTCACGCCTGTAATCCCAGCGCTATGGGAGGCCGAGGCGGGTGGATCACCTGAGGTCAGGAGTTCGAGACCAGCCTGACCAACATGGAGAAACCCGGTCTCCACTAAAAATACAAAATTAGCCGGGCGTAGTGGCGCATGCCTGTAATCCCAGCTACTTGGGAGGATGAGGCAGGAGAATCACTTTAACCCGGGAGGCAGAGGTTGTGGTTAGCCGAGATCACGCCATTGCACTCCAGCCTGGGCAACAAAGAGTGAAACTCTGTCTCAAAAAAAAAAAAAAAAAAAAAAAAAGGACAAAAGATTTGAACATATAGTTCATAAAAGAGGATGTAAAAATGGTCAATAATTGGACACAGGGAGGGGAACATCACATACCAGGGCCTGTCGGGGGGTGGGGGCCAAGGGGAGGGAGAGCATTAGGACAAATACCTAATGCATGAGGGGCTTAAAACCTAGATGACGGGTTGATGGGTACAGAAAACCACCACGGCACAGGTGTACCTATGTAACGAACCTGCACGTTCTGCACATGCATCCCAGAACTTAAAGTTTAAAAAAAAAAATGGCCCGGGCATGGTGGCTCACACCTGTAATCCCAGCACTTTGGGAGGCCGAGACAGGTGGATCTCCTGAGGTCAGGAGTTTGTGACTAGCCTGGCCAACATGGTGAAACCCTGTCTCTACTAAAAATACAAAAATTAACTGGGTGTGATGATGCGTGCCTATAATCCCAGCTACCCGGGAGGCTGAAGCAGGAGAATTACTCAAACCCAGGAGGTGGAGGTTGCAATGAGCCGAGATCACGCCATTGCACTCCAGCCTGGGCGACAGGCAAGACTCCGTCTCAAAAAAAAAAAAAAAAGGCCAATAAACACATGAAGAGGTGCTCAACGTTACTGGCCATCAGAGAAATGCAAATTAAACCACTATGAGACACCAAAAGGGTTAAGATTAAAGAGAGACAACAGCAAGCACTGGCAGGGACGTAGGGAAAGGTGGAACTCTTACACTGCTGGTGGGGAGTGGGAGTGTGTGTCAGTACATCCCTTTTGGGAAAAGGTTTAGTAGTACCTACTAAAGCTAAATACATGTGTACCCTAGTGACCCAACAATGCCATTCCTAGGTTTATAGAGGATAGATGAGTGTTTACAGCCACAAATCACATATACAAGAATGTTCACAACACTTCATTCATAAAGCTAAAACCTGGAAACACCACAAATGTCCGTCAATAGTAGAATGGATAAATGGGGTATATCACAATGAAATACAAACCAGCATAAGAAAGTACTAACTACAGTCCACCCTCCCTAACTGTGAATACTGTGTCCACAGATTCAATGAACCCTGGACTCAGAACCCGAGGATATGGAGGGCCAACTTCAAAGGACTTGAGCATCCATGGAGTTTGGTATCTGAGTGGGGTCCTGGAACCAATCCCAAGAACACTGAGGGAAGACTGTACTGATATAGGCAGTATTCATGGGTGAATCTCATGGAGATAACTTTGAGTAAAAGTATGCAAGGCTGGTGCAGTGGCTCACGCCTGTAATCCCAGCACTTTGGGAGGCCAAGGCAGGTGGATCACGAGGTCAGGAGTTCAAGACCAGCCTGGCCAACATGGTGAAACCCCATCTCTACTAAAAAATACAAAAAAATTAACCGGTGTGGCCGGGTGCAGTCTCTCATGCCTGTAATCCCAGCACTTTGGGAAGCCGAGGCGGGTGGATCACGAGGTCAGGAGATCGAGACCATACTGGCTAATACAGTGAAACCCCGTCTCTACTAAAAACATATAAAAAATTAGCCAGGCATGGTGGCGGGTGCCTGTAGTCCCAGCTACTTGGGAGGCTGAGGCAGGAGAATGGCGTGAACCCGGGAGGCAGAGCTTACAGTGAACCGAGATGGCACCACTGCACTCCAGCCTGGGCGACAGAGCGAGACTCCATCTCAAAAAAAAAAAAGACTCCTATAAAAAGAGAAAAGCTGTCCTGCTGCTGTGGTTGGCACTGAGTAAATGTTACCTGAAAGTCTTGAAGGCCTGGGCCCTGCACTCTCCAGTGGTCTCTTAGTTGGAGATATCCCTTCATCCTCAGTCAATCATATTATCTCCCCCAGGTTTACCCTGCCCCAGTCTAACATTGCCAGTTCCACAGGCTAACAGAGGGAGAAGGGCAGGGCACTGCAGTGCCAAGTCTTCCTTATATCCAGAACAACTGGGCATCCCAAGGCTGTGCAGACAGCAGCGCCTCCCCCAAGGCCTGTGCAGAGACACTACTTGCCTAGCCCTACTCCCTCCTCCCTCCCCAGGACTCACCAATCTGGTCATTGCCATTGCATGAGGCAAAGTGTAGAGCTGTGCGGCCCTTGTCATCAGCTGCACAGGGATCCGCGCCATCTTCCAGCAGCTGCTGCACTGACACCACCAAGACAGAGGGAGGAAGGGGGAGAAAGCGGCGATGTTAGCTAAGCTGCAGACCCGAGCGATGGAGAGGGAGGCTCAGGGGTGCCTCTAGACAAGACATCGACAATGCATAGGAAAGCAGCCCTTCCTAGATGCTGGTCCTATGGGAACAAGCAACTTGTTCTTCTGAGGGCACAACTGAAGGCCATGGATTCTGAGTGCTCAAACTACACGTCTAGTGATAGAACATCGTAGGAGGTTCAAGGCCCTCAGGGTCAGAAATTTTAGGGTCACAGGAATCCCTAGCATAGACAGTGGTCCCCCTCCCGTGACCTCGGCTTGGATACACATCCATTCTGGCTGGAAACAGCTGCCCAAGCTATTGGCCTATGCTATGCTCCCAGCAGGCAGCAATCCCCCAGCTACTTGGGGCCTCCCAAGTAGCCCCCAGCTAATTTTTGTATTTTTAGTAGAGACGGGGTTTCACCATATTGGTCAGGCTGGTCTCGACCTCCTGACCTTAGGTGATCCGCCCACTTCAGCCTCCCAAAGTGCTGGGATTACAGGCGTGAGCCACCACACCCGGCCCGAAAAAATGTTTATGATACACAAAAAATTATGCAGGCTACAGCATGTGTATATAGCAGTTTGCAAGCCAGCCCATAAAGAAAATTCCAGTGTATAGGAAAGAAGCCTTGAAGGATATTCATCAAAATATTAACAGATTAGTTCCTTTGCGGACATGGATTTTTTCTTATATATTTCTCTAATTTCCACAACATTTTTAAAAAATTTTTTTCTTATGTTATTTATTTATTTGAGACAGAATTTCGCTCTGTCGCGCAGGCTAGAGTGCAGTGGCGTCATCTCCGCTCACTGCAAGCTCTGTCTCCCAGGTTCACACCATTCTCCTGCCGCAGCCTCCCAAGTAGCTGGCACTACAGGCGCCCACCACCACGTCCGGCTAATTTTTTGTATTTTCAGTAGAGATGGGGTTTCACAGTGTTAGCCAGGATGGTCTCGATCTCCTAACCTCGTGATCTGCCCAGCTCGGCCTCCCAAAGTGCTGGGATTACAGGCGTGAGCCACCGCGCCCAGCTAACATTTACTTTTTGTAGAGACGAGGTCTCCCTATGTTGTCCAGGCTGGTCTCAAACTCCTGAGCCCAAGTGATCCTCTTGCCTTAGCCTCCCAAAGTGCTGGGATTACAGGCATGAGCCACCTCACCTGGCCGTGGCAGCTAAGTTGAGTATTCACTCCCATTAACCACAAGTTCCAAAGTTAGTGCCTACTCTTTGCAGAAGACTGTGCTGGCTGCCAGGGATACAAAAGTATACATGGTCTCCACCATCAAGGAGTCCACAGGGTGGTAAATGCTATGACATCAGGAAGTTCAAAGTGACAGGGGAGCATGGGGAGAGTGAGTGTCTAAGCCAGACTTACCTTCAGCAAGATGACTGCACAGTCAGACAATAAATACAGTGAGCCTGCTCCAAGGGCGTGAGTTTGCAGACTGCCTTCCCACATATTGATTACCTGGCCTTTTCCTTCCCCAACCAGCCCATGGGACCCTGTAGCTGGACCTACTGTGCACACTCACCTGTTTCCACATCATTGGCATTGGCCGAGTCCCTCAGTCTCTTCAGAGCTGTAAAGAGAGTAACGGATGCCAGTTTAAAAAAACAGCCATGGCTGGGTGCGGTGGCTCATGCCTATAATCCCAGCACTCTGGGAGGCCAAGGCAGGCAGATCACAAGGTCAGGAGATCGAGACCATCCTGGCTAACATGGTGAAACCCCATCTCTACTAAAAATACAAAAAAATTAGCCGGGCGTGGTGGCAGGTGCCTGTAGTCCCAGCTACTCGGGAGGCTGAGGCGGGTGAATGGCGTGAACCTGGGAGGTGGAGCTTGCAGTGAGCAGAGATCGCGCCACTGCACTCCAGCCTGGGTGACAGAGTGAGACTCCGTCTCAAAACAAACAAACAAACAAACACACACAAAAAAAACACAGCCATTGGCTGGGCATGATGGCTCACGTCTGTAATCCCAGCACTTTGGGAGGCCGAGGCAGGTGGATCACTTGAGGCCAGGAGTTCAAAACCAGCCTGGACAACATGGTGAAACCCCATCTCTACTAAAAATACAAAAAAATTAGCCGGGTGTGGTGCACATGCCTGTAATCCCAGCTACTCTGGAGGCTGAGGTAGGAGAATCACTTGAACCCAGGACATGGAGGTTGCAGTAAGCCAAAATCGCGCCACTGCACTCCAGCCTGGGTGACAGAGTGAGACGCTGTCTCAGAAAAAAACAAAAACAACAAAAACCAACAAAAAAAACCCAGCCATCTAGCTGGGTGTGGTGGTGTGCACGTGTAACACCAGCTACTTAGGAGGCCGAGGTAGGAGAATGGGTTGAAGCCGGAAGGCGGAGGCTACAGTGAGATGAGATCACGCCACTGCATTCCAGCCTGGGCAACAAAGTGAGACTGTCTCAGGAAAAAAAAAAAAAAAAAAAGCCACAATGGCTGGGCGCAGTGGCTCATGCCTATAATCCCGGTACTTTGGGAGGCCAAGGCAGGTGGATCACTTGAGGCCAGGAGTTCAAGACCAGCCTGGCCAACATGCTGAAACCCCATCTCTACTAAAAATACAAAACTAGCCATACGTGGTGACTCACGCCTGTAATCCCAGAACGTTGGAAAGCTGAGGTGGGCAGATTGCCTGTGCTCTGGAGTTTGAAACCACCCTGGGCAACATGGTGAAACCTTGTCTATACTAAAATACAAAAAATTAGTTGGGCATGGGGGTGCACGCCTACAATCCCAGCTACTTGGGAGGCTCAGGCAGGAGAATCGCTTAAGCCCAGGAGGCAGAGGTTGCAGTGAGCCAAGACTGTGCCACTGTACTCCAGCTCGGGCAACAGAGTGAGACTCTGTCTCACACAAACACACACACACACACACACACACACAAAAAACATAGGCCGGGCACAGTGGCTCACGCCTGTAATCCCAACACTTTGAGAGGCCAAGGTGGGTGGATCACGAGGTCAGGAGTTTGAGACCAGCCTGGCCAATAAGGTGAAATCCCTTCTCTACTAAAAATACAAAAATTAGCCAGGCATGGTGGTGCATGCCTGTTATCCCAACTACTCAGGAGGCTAAGGCAGGAGAATCACTTGAACTTGAGAGCCGGAGGTTGCAGTGAGCCAAGATCGCGCCACTGCACTCCAGCCTGGGCAATAGAGCAAGACTCTGTCTCAAAATAAATAAATAAATAAATAAATAAATAAATAAATAAATAAATAAATAAAATAAAAACACAAAAATTAGCCGGGTGTGGTGGTGCATGCCTGTAATCCCAGCTACTTGGGAGGCTGAGACACGAGAATCACTTGAGCCCAAAATCACACCATGGCACTCCAGCCTGGGTGGCAGAGCAACACTCCATCTCAAAAAAAAAGAAAGAAAAAATATTTCTCAATCTTAGGTTAAGTTCTAACTTAAATCAATCTAACATGGTAAAACCCCATCTCTACTAAAAATACAAAAACTAGCTGGGTGTGGTGGTGCGGGCCTGTAGTCCCAGCTACTTGGGAGGCTGAGGCAGTGAGCCGAGATTGCACCACCTGCACTGCAGCCTGGGTGGTAAAGCGAGACTCTCGTCTCAAAAAAAGAAAAGAAAGACAGTGCCCTGGGAACAAGGAGAAACTTGAAATGAGGCGGAGCTAGTACAAAGGCCACATCCTCCTGCAAATCCTCCAAGACTTTTGGAGCCAGATTTCCTCTCTATCACTTGTAGTCACAGGGTGACCTTGAGCAAGCTAGTTAACCCAGCTGGGCCTCAGGTCTATCATCTGCAAAACAAGGCTGAGTTGTTCTGCCAGCCCCGAGTTATTGCAAATGATTTACACAGAAGCTCTTTGTGAGCTGGTTACACAGATAATCTTATATTCTCCTTCAAAGCAGGTCGTTCCCAAATGATTTGCCTAAATTTGGTATTTCCTAAGCAGATTTTCCCCCTCCAATGGCTAATGGAAAGCAATGTCTTTGTCATCGGAGATATGGTCAAAAATTGCAATTCAGATACATGACAATTCCTTGCTTTCATACAGCACTTTATGGTCAATACAACGCTTCCAAATTCTTATTTCATCTTCGTGACATCACTAAAATATGGCTAGAGTCATAGCCAGTCCTGGAAGAAATCCCCAAAGTCCCCATTCTTAATCTCTCAGTGCCTGGGTTTCCATGTCACCCATGCATTGTAGAAGACAATATGGTAGATATACCAGAGGAGAAGTTTGAGTCGGGCTGACCCGGATTCTAATACCAGCAACAGCCACTTGCTATGTGACCTGGAATAAGACAATTTCTCTGAGCCTCAGTTTCCTCTTCAGTAAAGTGGGAACAATTTCTATGTCTCAAAGAGTTCTTGTGAGGACAGATGATCATGTATCAGCAGTGTTTGGGGCACAGCAAAGGCAGCATAACAGCTAAACATCCATTACCTTACTTAACTCATCCCATTTTACAGATGAGAAAACTAGGGCTGAGGCCGGGCCAGTGGCTCATGCCTGTTATGCCAGTACTTTGGGAGGCCGAGGTGGGTGGATCACCTGAGATCAGAAGTTCGAGACCAGCCTGGCAAACATGGTGAAACCCCATCTTTACTAAAATTACAATAATTAGCCGGGCTTGGTAGTGGGCGCCTGTAACCCCAGCTACTCGGGAGGCTGAGGCAGGAGAATCGCTTGAACCCGGGGGGCGGAGGTTGCAGTGAACCAAGATGGCGCCACTGCACTCCAGCCTGGGCAACAGAGCGAGACTCCGTCTCCAAAAAGATAATAATAATAAATAAATAAAAATAAAAAAATTTAAAAAGAAAACTAAGGTTGAAAGGGTCTATCATTTGCCCTAAGGTCTAACTGTGGTAAAGGAGTCCAAGTCCGTGCATTTAAACAAGCTGGTACGACTTGGCTGCAGGCTCTGGCCTCCCCTCTCCATGATAATAAAAGTGTTCCCCAGTACCTCATTTTATTATTCACCAATAAGCGTTCCGAGTCATGGGAAGTTTCCATTCAGAAATTACCCAGTGAGAGAAGACTGGGGTGACTGGCTCAGAGCAGGAAGACTTTCTAAAAAAACCATCATCACCATCGTTACTGAAAGGAGACTCAAGGGTCAGTGTGGCCCTCAGCGCAGACGTCGGGGGACCCCGGCTGAGGGTCGGGGGCGACCAAAGCGCGGCCACTGGTCCTCTGAGGCCCCGCCCCTCGCCCGGGCTGCCCCGCCCCGGGCCCCCGCGCCGCTCGCGCCGCTCACCGTGCACCTCCTTGCCCGTGGGCCCGAGCCGCCGGTGGGGCCTGGCAGCGCGCCTCAGCCGGCCAGCGGGTATCTTGCAGCGCAGCTCGTCGCGCGGCTCCGCATCCTGCTGCCACAGGACGTGCAAGTAGCGCAGCGGCGACTGGGCCCCGCCGGACGCCCGGCCCGAGAGGCCCGCGCCGCCGCCGCCCAGCGCAGACCCGAAGTCAGCGAAGGAGAAGAGGCCCTCAGCGTCAGTCAGCGGCTCCGGCGCCACCGCGCACTCGCCCTCCGAGCTCGAGTGGCCTGAGCGCGGCTCGTCGTCCGCGTCCCCGGCGGCGGCTGCCATGGCAACGGCTCCGCGCGGGCCTGGCCGCCTGAGCCTCGTTCCCGACCGACCAACGGACCTACTTCCCTCCGCCCTGAGTCGTGCTGTCAGCGAGCTGGCGGGCGGGCAGGGCCCGCAACCACGGCAACCGAGCGGGGGCGGGCTCAGGCCGAGACAGAGCGGCGAACCAATGACTACCCTTCCAGCTTAAACCGGTCCCAAAACCAATCGGAAAGGGAGGGCACAGTACAAGCAGGATAATTGGACAGGGTTTCCGGCAACGTGACTGACAGACATTGTAACCAATTACAAACTTGAAGTGACCTTGGCTTTCGCTGTACGTCGCTACCGGAGCCAGTAAAACAGCATTTCAGACGCTTTTTTTTTGCGACGGAGTCTCGCTCTGCCGCCAGGCTCGCGATCTCGGCTCACTGCAACCTCCGCCTCCTTGAAGCAATTCTCCTGCCTCAGCCTCCCGAGTAGCTGGGACTACAGGCGCGCGCCACCACGCCCAGCTAATTTTTGTATTTTTAGTAGAGACGGGGTTTCACCATGTTGGCCAGGATGGTCTCGATCTCTTGATCTCGAGATGTGCCGGCCTCGGCCTCCCAAAGTGCTGGGATTACAGGCGTGAGCCACCGCGCCCGGCCTTTTTTTTTCTTTTTCCTCTCCATTTCCCAGTCTAATGAGAAAACAAGCAGATACCTTAGCAAATCAGATTAAGATGATTTGCAGGCACTCACAAAGGAAAATGAAGAAGCCACGCCATCCATGTAGATATAGATGTTGTAAATCAATGAACGCAAAAAAAAAAAAAAAAAAGAACTTCCCACAAATGCATAATGTACGTGGGAAAGGGAAAATGTGTTGAAATTTGGAGATACCACTACAAACTGTGAGTAATAGTGTCTAAATGCAATGGATTTCCTTTAGTCAGAGTTCTCTAGGTAACCCCGACGTAGATGACTGATCTACAAAGATTTGTAATACAAAGTGATTACATTAGAGCAATAGTTTAGTTCGACAGCCAGTCACTGAGCCAGGTAACTGCTAGGTCCTGGACACAGGATCAGACTTGGTGCCCCTGAGATGCTCACAATCCAATGGGAGAAGACCAGGAAACAAATAAGTGTTCCTCAAGCAACATTTCATGGGTGCACGTTTTCATAAAACTTCTCACAATCCCGTACCCCACAAGCACTTCTATAAAGTAGACAAGAAGGACCATCCCTATTTTATAGGTGAGGAGTTGAAAAGCAGAGGGAAGAGACTCATTCACAGTTGCCCAGCTCTCACCGGACCAGGTCTTGTGTCCTGGCAAAAGTTCTTTCCATATATAAACCCTCCCACTCAACCCAGTTAAAATGTAATCTTTCCGCACGGTGGGTCACGCCTGTAATCCCAGCACTTTGGGAGGCCAAAATGGGCAGATGACAAGGTCGGGAGTTCAAGACAAGCCTGGCCAACATGATGAAACCTCGTTTCTACTAAAAATACAAAAATTAGCTGGGTGTGGTGGCGCACGCCTGTAATCCCAGCTATTCAGGACACTGAGGCAGGAGAGTAGCTTGAACCTGGGAGGCAGAGGTTGCGGTGAGCTGAGATCGCACCATGGCACTCCAGCCTGGGTGACAGAGCGAGACTCCATCTCAGAAAGAAACAAAAACAAAAAAAAGGCCTGGCGCTGTGGCTCACGCCTGTAATCCCAGCATTTTGGGAGGCTGAGGCAGGCAGATCACGAGGTCAGGAGATTGAGACCATTCTGGCTAACATGGTGAAACCCCGTCTCTACTAAAAATACAAAAAAATTAGCCTGGTGTGGTGGTGGGCACCTTTAGTCCCAGCTACTCAGGAGGCTGAGGCAGGAGAATGGCGTGAACCCAGGAGGCAGAGCTTGCGGTGAGCCGAGATCGCACCACTGCACTCCAGTCTGGGCGACAGAGAAAGACTCCATCTCAAAAAGAAAAAAAAAAGTAATCTTTCTCTTACAATTGGAAAAGCACTTCCAGAATTTTCAGTGTTTGCAGTCGCCATTGTGAGGTTTATCATTGTACTATATGGAAAAAAATGCTATGTTTATTTGTACTCTCCTCGTCTGCCCCATAATGGATACAGTGCTGAGACAGGATCTCTCACTGTCACTCAGGCTGGAGTGCAGTGGTGTGATCACAGCTCACTGCACTCAAGCTTTCCTCCCACCTCAGCCTCCTGAGTAGCTGGGGCCACAGATGTGTACCACCGTGCCTGGCTAATTATTTTTTTGATTTTTTGTAGACATGGTCTCACTTTTTTGTTCAGGCTGGTCTTGAACTCCTCGCCTCAAGGGATCCTCCTGCCTCCACATCCCAAAATGCTGAGATTACAGGAGTGAGCCACAGTGCCTGGGCCCCAATTTTTTTTTAAGATGGGGTCTCACTATATTGCCCAGGCTGATCTTGAGCTCCTGAGCTCAAGTGATCCTCCCACCTTGGCCTCCCAAAGTGCTGGCATGAGCCACCACATCCAGCCCCATGAAAATCTTCTGACTTCACAACTCCTTCTCAAATGTCATGAACATTTTGAGAATTGTTGTCAAATTGGAGCAACCTGTATCAAATTCCTGTCATATATGGACTATAAGATTTCAGGTAATTTCTTTTCTTTTTTTTTTTTTTGAGACGGAGTCTCGCTCTGTCGCCCAGGCTGGAGTGCAGTGGCAGGATCTCGGCTCACTGCAAGCTCCGCCTCCCGGGTTCACGCCATTCTCCTGCCTCAGCCTCCCAAGTAGCTGGGACTACAGGCGCCCGCCACTACGCCCGGCTAATTTTTTGTATTTTTAGTAGAGACGGGGTTTCACCATTTTAGCCGGGATGGTCTCGATCTCCTGACCTCATGATCCACCCGCCTCGGCCTCCCAAAGTGCTGGGATTACAGGCGTGAGCCACCGCGCCCGGCCAATTTCTTTTCTTTTTTCTTTTTTTTTTTGAGGCAGTTTTGCTCTTGTTGCCCAGGCTGGAGTGCAGTGGTGCAATCTTGGCTCACCACAACCTCCGCCTCCTAGGTTCAAGTGATTCTCCTGCCTCAGCCTCCCGAGTAGCTGGGACTACAGGCATATGCCACCATGCCCGGCTAATTTTATATTTTTAGTAGAGACGGGGTTTCACTATGTTGGCCAGGCTGGTCTCGAACTCCTGACCTCAGGTGATCCATCTGCCTTGGCCTCCCAAAGTGCTGGGATTACAGGTGTGAACCACTGTGCCAGGCCTCGGAGAAGGGTTATTATTTAAACTAGAAACTAAATGTCTCCCAAAGTTAGCTCGGTTCGAGCCAGGAATGATTAAGGGCAGTCTGAAGATTAAATGGAAGATGAGGGTTGGTTAGATCAGATCTCTTTCACTGTCATTATTTTCTCACTGTTACAATTTTTGCAAAGGTGGTTTCAGCAATAAAAATATTTCACAAATTTTACAAAAGCAAAGGACCATGAGGACATTGTTGGGGACCCTCCCTGAACCAAGGAAGAGACTGTGACTCTTCCTTGGTTCAGGGAAGGTCCTGAACCAAATCGAGGGTCGGTAAAGCTTAAGCTCCATTATTTCCAAATTTGTGTCACCTCTGGTGACAGCACAAGGAAGAAACACAAAACAAGAACGCAGCATAGGGAGTTGGGGCTGGGCATTGCAATTCTCAATAGGATGTTGAGTGGATGGCATCAGAGCAGACACCTGAAGGTGCCATGCAGATACCGATGGGGAAGGGAATGGGAGTGGGGGTGCCACTGCATTCGATTCTAGACTTGGATAACAGTGAGTGCAAAATCCCAGAGGTGGAGCGTGCCTCAGTGGGAAAAGCAAGGAGGGCGGCGTGACAAAGGGACCCAGAGAGTCCTGGTCACACAGCAAATCAGTGGCGGAGTAGGGACTGGAACTCGGATTTCCACTAGGTGTTGTGTATGGGCAGATGGCTAAACTAAGGCCTCTCCTTGACTCATACACCGGTTTTTATTGGTTTGCTTTATAACCCCATCTCTACCTTGAGGGTTTCCCCTGGCCTCGAACCCGGTGTACTCAAGAGCTGCCCATGTCCCAGGCTTCGCGACACAGCTGGCCTCATCTTTGCCTGCTCCAACTTTAATGTCCAAAGTTGGGTGGCTCCTGTTCTCCATTCCCTCTTACTGCATGGGACCAAATCTCAATTTTTTTTTTTCTTTTTTTTTTTAGACGGAGTCTTGCTCTGTCGCCCAGGCTGGAGTGCAGTGGCGCGATCTCGGCTCACTACAGCCTCTGCCTCTCAGGTTCCACCGATTCTCCTGCTTCAGCCTCCTGAGTAGCTGGGATTACAGGCGGACGCTACCACTCCCGGCTAATTTTTGTATTTTTAATAGAGACGGGGTTTCGCCATTTCGGCCAGGCTGGTCTCGAACTCCTGATCTCAGATCATCCACCCGCCTCGGCCTCCCAAAGTGTAGGGATTACAGGCGTGAGCCATCGCGCCCGGCCAAATCTCAATTTTTATCCCCAGTAAGTTTAGTCTTGTGAAGTCCGAACGTTTGAATAATTTACTCGCTGCAGGCAAACCGCCTACAACTAAATCCATCAGGCCCCCGTATCCGAATCTTCCTTCACGCGAGAAGCCGGCCATCTTTTGTGTAGCATTCTTTCTGGTTCCTCTAACTTTGCCTCTCCTTTACGCCAAATACGTGTCCTTATATCTGAATCTACACCACTATTATAGATTCACCTTCTTTGAGAAGTCCCTATTTGAAGAGAGGAAAATTCAGGCTACTTGTAACCCTCTTATTCTTTTTAGACGGAGTTTTCCCTCTTGTTGCCCAGGCTAGAGTGCAATGGCGCGATCTCGGCTCACCGCAACCTCCGCCTCCCGGGTTCAAGCGACTCTCCTGCCTCAGCCTCCCGAGTAGCTGGAATTACAGGCATGCGCCACCACTCCCGGCTAATTTTGTATTTTTAGTAGAGACGGGGTTTCTCCATATTGGTCAGGCTGGTCTCAAACCCCCGGCCTCAGCCTCAGGTGATCCGCCCGCCTCGGCCTCCCAAACTGGTGGGGTTACAGGTGTGAGCCACGGAACGCGGCTCCTCTTCCTTCTGGATATGGCTGTCTCAGATGGCCAGAGGCCTCGGAAAGGCTTCCGGTTTCCCGGCAGGCCCGAGTGGGGCTGAACTTCCGGCCTCAGGACGCAGGCGCGGGCCGCTCATTTCGCTCTTTCCGGCGGTGCTCGCAAGCGAGGCAGCCATGTCTTATCCCGCTGATGATTATGAGTCTGAGGTAAGGTGGCCGTAAGGGCGCGGTGGGCTCCACGACGGGGTGATCTCTGGGACCACTGGATGTGGGTCCCGGCGCGAGGCAGCTTCCGGGTCGCGGCCAGCTCCGGCCGACCTCCCGCCCGGCCCTCAGGCTGCTCCCACAGTTCCCGGTCCCTAGACAACCCTGGCTCTGCCCGCCCACTTCGCGTGTTCGATTGGCTTGTCCTTCCCCTTTCTAAGACCGGAGACTAAGGCCTGTTAGACGTTTCTGTGTTTCTGCACCTGAGTTTTTTTGGTCTAGGCTCCGTCTGGTCAAATCTCGCTGATTCCCACAGCCTCTTGTCCTTTGCTCCACCTCATTGCACCCGTAATGTTGTATTGTCATTGTCTGTTTACTGTCCCTTTTCTCTAAGGCGTGTGAGTTCCTCAAAGGCAGGCACAGTGTCTTATTCGCCTCTGTATCCTTAGCTCTCTGCTTGGCATCTAGACTCTAGGATGAGCGTTTTGAATTCACGACTTGGCGGCTGTCCTTGACTGTGTCTCTTTCCTTCTAGGCGGCTTATGACCCCTACGCTTATCCCAGCGACTATGATATGCACACAGGTGAGACCACGGGTTAGGCTGGCTGAGTACTCGTAGGGATCAGTTCCTTTGGAATGTCTTAGAACCAGCTCTGACAGGCATCAAAAATTGCTCTTTGATGGTCCAGGTTTGGAGTCAGTCATTAGCTGCCAGTGCGAGGGGTTTTATAAAGCCTAATAAACCAGGCTTTTTATCATAGTCCACCTCAGTCTTGGAAGAGAAGGATTACTTACCTGGCTATGGTTTTCTTGTGTAAACTATTAGCCAAATAAGAAAAGCTTTTTTGTTTTTGTTTTTGTTTTTGTTTTTGAGATGGAGTTTCCCTCTGTCCCCCAGGCTGGAGTGCAGTGGTGCGATCTCGGCTCACTGCAACCTCCGCGTCCCTCGTTCAAGCAGTAGTTCTCTTGTCTCAGCCTCCTGAGTAGCTGGGATTACAGGCGCCCACCACCATTCCCAGCTAATTTTTAAATTTTTTTAATAGAGACGAGGTTTCGCCGTGTTGTCCAGGCTGGTCTTGAACTCCTGACCTCAGGTGATCCACCCGCCCCAACCTCCCAAAGTGCTGGGATTACAGGCGTGAGCCACCGCGCCTGCCCCAAGGAAGAAAATCTTGATGTGAAAAATTTAAGTAATTCAAACCAAGCCCGAATGAAATCTTTTTAGGAGGTGTCTGAGGTTTCCTGAAACGTTATAGTGACTTGACTTAGTAGTCAGTGTTATCCATTGTTCTAAGTACTTTGTATGAAATATTTTGTTTAATCCTTACAGCAGTTCTGTATGTTAATGTCTCCTAAAGAATAGAAAATATAGCAGAGAGGTTTATTAGTAGTAACTTGGCACAGTCATATATTTAAAAGGTGACAGTTATTCATTCAAGAAATATTAAGTACCTGTTACCACTTACTTTCCAACAGTCTTGCCTCTCTCCCCTCCAACGCACACTTTTCTAGGCCCTGAGGGTATGTCTGAGTACAAGACAGACGAGATTCCTGACTTCCTAGACTTGGGAGAAGGGTGCAAAACAGATAATAAGTGAAAAATAACTTTAAGTCATGGTAATATTTTTGAAGAAACAGGGACAACGAGATTGGGAGTGACTTGAGATGTTTGTATCTCTGAGTATTCAAAAGGGAATTTTACGCAGACCTGAGTTTAGTTTCTGGGGTGGTCTTGCCATTTCGTTCTATCATATATGTGGGTTTGAGCATACTCTGTATTTGTTGTATCCAACCTCCAGGAGATCCAAAGCAGGACCTTGCTTATGAACGTCAGTATGAACAGCAAACCTATCAGGTGATCCCTGAGGTGATCAAAAACTTCATCCAGTATTTCCACAAAACTGTCTCAGATTTGATTGACCAGAAAGTGTATGAGCTACAGGCCAGTCGTGTCTCCAGTGATGTCATTGACCAGAAGGTGTATGAGATCCAGGACATCTATGAGAACAGGTATGGGCTACTGGCTGAAAGGGCCTCTTTCTGGGTGGGACTGGCCTGGTAATATAGTTCCTACAAATGAGGTGAGCACTCTGTAAACAGTACTTTCGGGGGGGTTGGGGGGTGGGGGTCTTTGTGAGTCCTTGAGGCTAGGGACATTTTATTTTGTTAGACTTTATTTTATTTATGCATTTGTTTATTTTTTGAAACGGAGTGTCACTCTGTCGCCCAGGCTGGAGTGCAGTGGCAAGATCTCGGCTCACTGCAACCTCCGCCTCCTGGGTTCAAGTGATTCTCCAGCCTCAGCTTCCCGAGTAGCTGGGACTACAGGCATGTGCCACCATGCCTAGTTAATTTTTTTGTATTTTTAGTAGAGACAGAATTTCACCATGTTGGCCAGGCGTGTGTTGAACCCCTGACCTCAAGTGATCCACCCGCCTCAGCCTCCCAAAGCACTGGGATTACAGGTGGGAGCCACCATGCCTGGCCTAATTTTTGTATTTTTAGTAGAGACGGGGTTTCATCATGTTGGCCAGGCTGGTCTTGAACTTCTGACCTCAAGTGATGTACCCCCGTTGGCCTCCCAGAGTGCTAGGATTACAAGCGTGAGCCACCATGCCCGGCCTGTTGGACTTTATATCCTCAGAAATTTATACAAAGCCTAAAATAATATCACTATTAACAATTATAATAATAATGATTAGCATTTGTTTTTATTACCAGGATAGATCCATCAATGTTCAGTGTGTTGTTTGTGTTTTTACTCATTTACCCTTCACAGTAAGCCCATGAAGTAGCAGTTTTTCTCATTTTACAGATGAGGAAACAGCACAGAAATAAGTCATGTAGCTAGTTTAATGGATGTGCTGAGATTTGAACCTGCAGTGTCTGGCACCAAAGCCTAATTTCTAAACTGTGCTATGCAGCCCTTCAGTACATATCAGAGCAAGCTGAACTCCGCAGGTTTTGAGGGGCTGCCGTTGTGTAATGAGCGTTAGAGATAAGATAGGTCAGTCAAAGCTGGGATAGTCAGGAGTGACTTCACCAAGGAAATAGAATTTAAGCAAGTCAGAAGGATGAGGGAGAGAAAACAAATAGCCAAAGGCCTATTGATCAATGAATAGGATCTCTGACATGTGTTTTCTTTTTTTGTTGTTTTGAAAGAGCTGATTGTAGTTGAAAAGCAGAGGAAACCTCAGACATTGCATGGTTTTAGGCCTCACCCCTGCCACTCTCGTGAGCCTAAGTTCTACTTGGTGTGGACTCCAAGGTCCTTCCCGCCCCTGCAAGCCACCCATTAGGTTGAGCTGAGAGATCAGCCAATGGGAACAGAGTCACTTATGACCAAGAAGAATTGATCTGGGGGTTAGTTAGTGAGGAGAGAGAAAGGGAGAAAACCTTGTTCGGAGGTTGAACACCTCCAGCCGAAGAAGGTGCAGCATCGAGGTCTTTCACCACTAGCAAATGGATCCAAGTCATGCGGCACCAAAAGAGGTTAGCAGCTGAAGGGTGTTGAAGTGACACAACACCAAAACATGCTACCAATGATGAATCCGTATCTGTACAGGTCTCCAGCAGCCTCAGTTCTTGCCTCCTCAAAAGAAAGAATTCGACTGAGGGGTAAAATGCTACCGATGATGAGTCCGTATCTGTACAGGTCTACAGCAGCCTCAGTTCTTGCCTCCTCACAAGAAAGAATTACACTGAGGGCTAAAATGCTACTGATGATGAGTCTGTATCTGTACGGGTCGACAGCATCCTCAGTTCTTGACTCCTAACAAGAAAGAATTCGACTGAGGGGCACAAGGCAGAAGAAGAGAGGGAGGCAAGTTTGAGAGCAGGAGTGAAAGTTTATTAAAAAGCTTTAGAACAGGAATGAAAGAAAGGAAAGGACAGTTGGAAGAGGGCCAGGTGGGTGACCTGAAAGGCAAGTGTGCTGAACTGTGTTTTCTTTATTCCCCGGGTCTTTTCTGATTAGAAGTATATAAATCAGCGCCTACAAAAATTAGCTGGGGCATGGTGGCAGCATGCCTATAGTCCCAGCTAGTTGGGAGGCTGAGGTGGGAGGATCACTTGAGCCTGGGAGGTTGAGGCTGCAGTGAGCTGCACAATGGAGCGAGACCCTCTCTCAAAATTAAAAAATGGACCTGATGTTCAATAGAAATGTAGCTAGACATTAATTTTAATTTTTCAGCCAAGCGAAGTGGAGATTTATTTAAAATATTATTTCTATATGTAATCAGTATTTAAAAATTAAGGGGATATTTGCCCTTTTTTTTCTTTATACTTAAAGTTTCCTAAATCCAGTGTGTATCAGAAATACTTGCTTTGTGTTTAGATTTTATAGAGTTTATGACTGGAAAAGTAATTCAAATTTGAAATTTGAATCTTCAAATAGTAGAGTAATTCCAAATAGACCTAAAAGTTTTCCAATACTGAGTTAAGTGTTGGTTTTTAAACTTAAATGGCAACTAACTGAAATTTAAAATTTAACTCTTTGCTTATATAGTAGCCACATGTAGCTAGTGGCTATTGCATTGGGCAGTGCCCGCAGATACAGATGACAGTTGAAGCCAAGCATCTTGTAAGTCTTTCTCTAGGAGAATGTGAGAAGAAATGCTGGTGCCTTAAGAAGTATGTTTCTTTAGGGATGGGTGGGCAGGCAAAGAAAGGATCTAGTAAAGGAGGCAGAAAGAAAAGTGAAAAGTAGATAGTAAATTGGCAAAGAAATGTCACAGGAACCAAAAAGTCTGCAGAAGAAACTGAGGAAGAGAGTATCACCAAATGTTTTAGTGAGGTCCAGATGAGAAAAAAAGCCAGTTGAATTTGGTAACTTGGAGGGCCTTGATAACCTTAGCAAGGTCAATGTCAGTAGAGTGATGGAAGCAACAGCCAGAGAGCAGTGGGGTGAGAAAGGGGAATTGGTAAGTATCGGGGACATAAAGGGTCACTGAGTGGCTTTGTGTTTTGTTTCTGTGTTTTTTCTGTTTTTGTTTTTTGTTTTTTGAGACAGGATTTCGCTCTTGTTGCCCAGGCTAGAGTGCAATGGCGCAATCTCAGCTCATCGCAACCTCCGCCTCCTGGCTCCAAGCGATTCTCCTGCCTCAGCTTCCCAAGTAGTTGGGATTATAGGTGTGCACCACCATGCCTGGCTAATTTTGTATTTTTAGTGGAGACGGGGTTTCACCGTGTTGGTCAGGCTGGTCTGGAACTCCTAACCTCAAGTGATCCACCCGCCTCAGCCTCCCAAAGTGTTGAGATTACGGGTGTGAGCCAGCGCGCCTGGCCTGTTTCAGTGTTTCTTTTCTGTTCTGTTTCTGTGTTTCTCCCCAACCCCCATCCCGTAGAGACAGGGCCTTCCTATATTGTCCAGGCTTGTCTTGAATTCCTGGGTTCAAGCGATACCCCTATCTTGTCCTCCCAAAGTGTTGAGATTACAGGCGTGAGCCATCATGCCTGGCCTGTTCAGTGTTTTTTAGGGGAACTTGAGCATGTTTATATGTTGGACTAAAAGAGCCAGAGAAGCAGGAGGGGTGGGGCTTGAGGAGATTGGAGGAAAGTATTAATAGCTGCTGAGGGCATCAGGAGAAGAAAATTAAACAACCTGTTGCAGGTTTGTCAAGTAGCAGTGTTTGGATTGGATAGGCAGCAGTGTTTAAATTGGATGCTGTAGGTCTGTTGTGGCCTTGGACTGCAGCAGACTGATTTGCTTCTGTGTTTAGAGACGTTTGGATGTGCTCCAGGAGATGGAAACGCTGTGTTAAAGAATGGTGGCCAAAAAAGTAGTTCTTATAGCAGAAAACAGCAAGCAGTTAAATATGGCTATAGTTAATGATACAGAGGCAGGAGATTATCCTGAAAAGCTTGATGGGTCCCTAACTGATACAAAAACAATATTTTCTTGTGTTGAGAAAGATTGAAGTGTGGAGTTGGGTTGAGGACAGTTGTGGGCTTGAAGGGCTTTGGCCTCAGCTCTGTTTATTTGACATCTTCCCCTTTCTAAGCCTGGGTCCTCATCTGTAAAATGTTAGGATTGGCATTCTCCAGTCCTTTTGGAATTTTAGAGATTTTTTTCTTGATTTTTAGCTGGACCAAGCTGACTGAAAGATTCTTCAAGAATACACCTTGGCCCGAGGCTGAAGCCATTGCTCCACAGGTTGGCAATGGTAGGTGTGAGCTCTTTATATCTTGTGCACTGAGTGGAATCCAGTGGCTGAGTCATTAGACAGGAAGCTCAAGAGGGTCTGTGTCTGTTTTGCTCACCATTTTGTTTCCTTGGTGCTTGGTATGTAGTAGGTCCTTGGCAAAATAACTTGTCGAAGGCTGGATGATTTAAGAGAGGACAGAGATCTCTCATATATGGTGAAATTTAGATCTTTGTACTGACTTGTTTCTATTTCCTTCTATAATTTGGGGGTCATTACAGTCACTCTGGAATAAGCTCTCTAGCTTCCCACCTTTGACTTTCTTAGATGATGTCCTTTATATATGGGTGAGGTAGGCAAATCCAACTTCATTATTTTGCTTGTGGATATTCAGCTACCCTGGCACCAATTTATTTATTTATTTATTTTATTTTATTATTATTATTTTTTTTGAGATGGAGTCTCGTTCTGTCTCCCAGGCTGAAGTACAGTGGCACAATCTTGGCTCACTGCAACCTCCGCCTCCCAGGTTCAAGCGATTCTCCTAGGTTCAAGCAATTCTCCTACCTCAGCCTCCCGCGTAGCTGGGATTACAGGCGCCCGCCACCACGCCCAGCTAATTTTTGTATTTTTAGTAGAGACGGGGTTTCACCGTGTTGGCCAGGCTGGTCTCGAACTGCTGACGTCAGGTGATTCGCCCACCTCAGCCTCCCAAAGTGCTAGGATTATAGGCATGAGCCACCGCACCCAGCCTGCCCAGCTAATTTTTAAAAATTTTTTGTAGATACCGGGTCACACTTTGTTGACCTGGCTGATCTTGAACTCCTGACCTCAAGTGATCTTCCCAGAGTGCTGAGATTACAGGCATGCACCACTGTGCCCAGCCACATTGTCTTGATTACTATATTTTTGTAGTAAGTTTTGAAATGGGGAATTGTAGGCCGGGCGCAGTGGCTCACGCCTGTAATCCAAGCACTTTGGGAGGCCGAGGCGGGTGGATCACCTGAGGTCGGGAGTTCGAGACCAGCCTGATTAACGTGGAGAAACCCCATCTCTACTAAAAATACAAAATCAGCCGGGCATGGTGACACATGCCTGTAATCCCAGCTACTTGGGAGGTGGAGGCAGGAGAATCACTTGAACCCGGAAGGCAGAGGTTGCGGTGAGCCGAGATCGCGCCATTGCACTCCAGCCTGGGCAACAAGAGCGAAACTCCGCCTCAAAAAAAAAAAAAGAAAGAAAGAAATTGGGAATTGGTAAGTCCTCCAACTTTGTTCTTTTTTTTTTTTTCCCCAAGATTGTTTTGACTATTCTGGGTCTCTTGGATTTGCTTATTGATTTTAGGATGGACTTGTCAATTTCTGCAAAGTAGCCAGCTGGGATTTTGAGAGGAATTGCCTAGAATCTGAAGATCACTTTGGGGAGTATTGCCGTCTTAACAGTATTAAGTCCTCCAGGCCAGGCGCGGTGGCTCATGCCTGTAATCCCAGCACTTTGGGAGGTGAAGGTGGACGGATCACGAGGTCAGGAGATCGAGACCATCCTGGCTAACACGGTGAAACCCCGTCTCTACTAAAAATGCAAAAAAGTTATCTGGGCAGGCCGGCATGGTGGCGGGCACCTGTAGTCCCAGCTACTCGGGAGGCTGAGACAGGAGAATGGCGTGAACCCGGGAGGCAGAACTTGCAGTGAGCTGAGATTGCGCCACTGGACTCCAGCCTGGGCGACAGAGCAAGACTGCGTCCCAAAAAAAAAAAAAAAAAAAAAAACCAATATTAAGTCCTCCAATCTATGGACATGGGATGTCTTTGATTTATTTAGGTCTTTGGTTGCGTTCACCAGTGTTTTGTGTTTTCAGTGTACAAGTCTCTCATTTGTTTTGTTATAGCTAACGTTTTTTTGAACACTTAACTCCTTTTTTTTTTCCCCCTAAGATGGAGTCACGGAGTCTTGCTGTCTTGCCCAGGCTGGAGTGCAGTGGCGCGATCTCTGCTCGCTGCAACCTCTGCCTCCTGGGCTCAAGCAATTCTCCTGCCTCAGCCTCCCGAGTAGCTGGGATTACAGGCACCTGGCGGATTTTTTGTATTTTTAGTAGAGATGGTGTTTCACCATCTTGGCCAGGCTGATTTTGAACTCCTGACCTCAAATGATCCACCCGCCTCAGCCTCCCAAAGTGCTGGGATTACAGGCATGAGCCACTGCACCTGGCCTGAACATTTACTCTCAATTGACTAAACACAGAATGAGTTCAAAACTCATTCTGTGGCTGGGTGTCGTAGCTCACGGCTGTAATTCTGGTACTTTGGGAAGCTGAGGTGGGAGGATTTCTTGAGGCTGGGAGATTTAGACTAGCCTGAGCAACATAGGGAGACCCCCTTCTCTACAAAAAATTTTTTAAAAAAATTATCCAGGCATGGTGGCACATGCCTGTAGTCCCACCTACTCGGGAGGCTGAGGTGGAAGGATCACTTGAGCCCTGGAAGTCGAGGCTGCAGTGAGCCATGATCATATCACTGCACTCCAACCTTGGCAACAGAGCGAGACCCTGTCTTCAAACAAACAAACAACATTCTGAAATTAATATTTTCTTTCTTCCTTTTTTTTTTTTTTTTTTTTTTTTTGACATGGGGGTCTCACTGTGTTGCCCATGCTGGAGTGTAGTGTGATAATGGCTGACTGCAACCTGTGCCTGCTGGGCTCAAGCGATCCTCCCACCTTAGCCTGCCGAGTAGCTGGGACCATGGGTGCGCACCACCACGCTTGTCTAATTACTCTTGTGTGCTGGTTTTTTTATGCACTTGGATGGCAGAAGTCTCTAAATGGTGAAAGGAAATAGATCTGAATGAGATCTTAATCTCATCGACAGAGATTGAGGTTGATGGAGTCAAATGAGAAGTGGATTTTCTCATTGCATGTATTCTTGGGGCATATGCATAGCAATTTAGATGTTGTTTAGTCTTCAGAATTACCTTTATTCCTCCCCACCAAAGAGCTAAAGCTGCCAGGATACCCCAGTTTTATGGTTAGTGAAGCACCCTTCTGCCATCTCTTTCAGATGCTGTCTTCCTGATTTTATACAAAGAATTATACTACAGGCACATATATGCCAAAGTCAGTGTAAGTATTTAAGTGTCGCAGTTTTTTTTTTGTTTTTGTTTTTTTAACTCTGTGCTGTTTTTGTCCCTAGAACACAGTCATTTGTTTATATTGGTTCAGTGTCTGGGCATGATTGGCATGTTTTTGAGTTTTAAGAAGCGGTGGAAGGAACAGTTTAACCCAGAAAGCTGTTCAGACACACTAACGCTATATAACCTATGCATTCTTTTAAATTTCTCTGTCCCCACAATTCTCCTGGACTGGGCAATCACCCATGCACTGGTTATAGGCTGCCAGCCTCATAGGATATTTCCAGGTACCTGCTGCTGCTTCTGCTTGGGGTTCTTTTTCCCTTCAGAGCATTGAGCCTCTGTTTCTCTGAGATGTACATAACACTGTCACTGTATGCCAAGCACAATGCTAGGCACTTAGCACACATCTTCACATATCTAATTCTACTATCAATCGTGCAAAGTTGGTACCCGAGGTGCCAAGAGGTTACCTTTTCTCAAATTTATCCAGCTAGTAAGTGACAAAACTCCTTGAATCTAGACCAGCTTGTTATAACACCAGTATTCTACACATTATCCCAACTTTGAGCACTTGCTAGATTCTGTTCTTCCCGACTTCTAAATTATAGAGTACGTGAAGTTTCTTTTTTTTTTTTTTTTTTTTTGAGAGAGAGTGAGTCTCGCTCTGTCGCCCAGGCTGGAGTACAGTGGCGCGATCTCAGCTCACTGCAGGCTCCACCTCCCAGGTTCACGCCATTCTCCTGCCTCAGCCTCCTGAGTAGCTGGGATTGCAGGTGCCTGCCACCACACCTGGCTAATTTTTTTGTATTTTTAGTAGAGACGGGGTTTCACTGTGTTAGCCAGGATGGTCTCCATCTCCTGACCTCGTGTTCCGCCCGCCTTGGCCTCCCAAAGTGCTGGGATGACAGGCGTGAGCCACCACGCCCGGCCTAGAGTGCCTAAAGTTTCTTAAAATGCCATCTGTACTATTTAAGGCTGGGCGCGGTGGCTCACGCCTATAATCCCAGCACTTTGGGAGGCTAAGGGCAGGTCACCTGAGGTCAGGAATTTGAGACCAGCCTGGCCAACATGGAGAAACCTCGTCTCTATTAAAAATATGAAACTACAAAAATAAGCTGGGCGTGGTGGCGGGTGCCTGTAATCCCAGCTACTTGGAAGGCTGAGGCAGGAGAATCGCTTGAACCCGGGAAGCGGAGGTTGCAGTGAGCCGAGATCGTACCACTGCACTCCAGCCTGGGTGACAGAGTGAGACTCTTGTCTCAAAAAGAAAAGAAAAATGCCATCTGTATTATTTATATACACCAATGACTTAATCTCTATCTTTAGCCTCAGTTGCCCCACTGAAGTCCAGACTTGTATATTCAGCTGTCAGCATCTGCACTTGGCTGTCTGAGTCATCTGAAGCTTAACACATCTAAAACTGAATTCTTATTTTCCCTCTAAACTAGTTTTTCTCATGGTAATCATCTCAATAAATGCTACCGTTTATTACCAAGTTAATTGGACTAAAAGCCTTGGCATTATTCTTGACTTTTCTCTGACATGATATCCAGCAAATCCTGTTAAGCTCTGTCTTCAACATACTTCTTTTTGTTGTTTTGTTTTATTTTGTTTTGTTTTTGAGACGGAGTCTCGCTCTGTCATCCAGGCTGGAATGCAGTGGCGCCGTCTCGGCTCACTCCAACCTCTGTCTCCTGGGCTCAAGCAATTCTCCAGGCTCAAACGATTCTCCTTCCTCAGCCTCCTGAGTAGCTGGGATTACAGGCATGCACCACCACGCCTGGCTAATTTTTGTATTTTTAGTAGAGACAGGGTTTCGCTATGTTGCCCAGGCTGGTCTCGAACTCCTGACCTCAGGTAATCCGCCCGCCTCGGCTTCCCAAAGTGCTAAGATTACAGGCGTGAGCCACTGTGCCTGGCCTTCAGCATACTTCTTGAATCAGCCACTTTTCACTGCCACACTGCTGCTCACCTAGTTGAAGTCATTATCATCTCTTCCCTGAATTACTGCAGGAGCTGCTTACCTGGTGTCAGTTTCCACTCTTGGCTGTTTATTCTCAACATAATAACCAGCATGATCCTTTTGCTACATAGTTTCATCAGGTCACTTCCAATCCTACCATGACTTCCCATCACACTTACTAATTCCAGGTTTTAGCCCTGTTTCCCTTCTCACTCATTTCCTGAAACTTTCCCCCTCCCTCCCTGGGCTCCTGGCAATATTCGTGGCACTTCAGAGCACTTATCTCTTGTACGTTGTATTTGTTTATTTAGGGGAGGGAGTTTCTTAATCTACTGGAAGGTTAACTCCACCGGGGTATGTGCTTGTCTTGTTCACCAATATAATCCAGTGCCTAGAATAATGTCTGGTCATAATGGTGTTAATTGAGCATGTGTGTGCTTGCATGCATGTGTAAGTGAAGGAAATTGGCACCAAGATCTCCACCTAAGGAGGTCCTAGTTTCTCACAGTTACTCACCCCTCTTCTCCTTGAGGACCGCTTGATATGGCTAGAACTCCTGCCTTGGCCACAGGAGCCACTGTCAGTAGTGGTAGGTGGAAAAGTTCTTGCTGCCAGAGTAAGGGGCCATGTTTTTCCGGCATCCCAGCGGGATCTCTGACTACTTTATCTGATAGAAAGTAAAGATTCCTGGCCAGGCGCTGTGGCTTACGCCTGTAATCCCAGAACTTTGAGAGGCTAAGGCGGGTGGATCACGAGGTCAGGAGTTCGAGACCAGCCTGACCAATATGGTGAAACCCCGTCTCTACTAAAAATACAAAAATTAGCCAGGCGTGGTGGCGTGTGCCTGTAATCCCAGCTACTCGGGAGGCTGAGACGGAAGAATCACTTGACCCCAGGAGGCAGAGGTTGCAGTGAGCTGAGATTGCACCGCTGCACTCCAGCCTAGGCACCAGAGCGAGACTCCGTCTCAAAAAAAAAAAAAAGTAAAGATTCCCTACTACCATTGATGCTAAAGTTCAGGTACTTTGTGGATATGCTAAGAATCTAGCCATTATGTGTACACTGCTTTTTTGGGAACACCATGACACCATAGCCCATAGTATAGCTGGTTTTACCACCTCTAATCTCTCTGTTTGGTCTGTAGATGAAGATTCAGCAGAAGCTTATTGATGCTGTTATCTTTTTATTAGCTACCAGGACTCCTACATAAATGACCAGTTTTAAGCCCTTGGGAAGCAGTTTTTCATTGAATGTGCTTAGATTGTGCTTAATGTATTAAGCACCTTACATAACTTTTATTAAACAGAGACGGGGTCTTGCCATGTTGCCCAGCCTGTTCTCAAACTCCTGGCCTCAGGTGATCAGCCCACTTCAGCCTCCCAGAGTGTTGAGATTACAGGCGTGAGCCACTGCGCCCAGCTATATAATCTTACTTCATTGTGACTAGTCAACAATCTTTTGCCCACATTTTACAGAGATTAAATACCTTGTGAGAACCCCACAGTTAATAAGAGGTGGGACTGACTCCAAAGTTGTGTTTCTTCTCCATCACAAATACATTGCTCATGGTATGGTTCCCCAGCTCAGAAACTATCAGTGGTTCTCAGATGCAAGCAACATAAAGACCAGACCAGGGGTCAGCCACCTTCTCTGTGGAGGGTCAGATAATAAGTATTTTAGTCTCGAGGGCCATGATGGTTTCTGTCAGATCTGTTCAGCTATGTCTTTGTGGCAGTTATCAACAATATGTAATGAGTGGGCATGGCTGTGTTCCAGTAAAACTTCTTTATTTACAAAACAGGTGGCGGAATAGATTTGCAGGCCCCCTGACCTAGATGCTTGTTTGGCGTTGGAAGACTGCAACATTCCTGGCCCGTAGTCTAGTGATGCCCGGTGCAGCATTATCTTCTCTTAACTCCCTAGCCTTCAAGTGCCACGATTTAACTTCTTCGCCTTTGCTAGTGTGGTTTTTTTCTGAAACACTTTTCCTTCTCTCTGCTTTGCCAGATCATCATCCCTGCTCTGAGGGTCATTTAAGGTCTGTTGCTGTAGAACCTAACCACGTGTTGCAGTATTCAGTGCGTCAGCTGCTATAGGACTTTCTATCTTCCCTCTCACTTGCATATTTACATAGTAAGAAAGAGAGGACAGATACCAATTCTCTTGTATTTGTTCACAGCTGTCACAGTATACCATGGGTAAAACACATTAAAATTAAATATCTGTATCTTGATATCTCTTGTTTTCTTTACAGGGGGGACCTTCCTTGGAGCAGAGGTTTGAATCCTATTACAACTACTGCAATCTCTTCAACTACATTCTTAGTGAGTCTGAGATTTGGCCAAGAGGGTGTGTGTGGTTATGATGAGGTTCAGCATTGGCCTCCAGCTTTTTTTTTTTTTTTTTTAAATTAGCAGGATCTTAATGTGTAGGTGGGAAGAGGGGAGGTCTTGTGATTCATGGTCCTTTTAAGAGAGAAATTACAAAGCATTCTGCAGCCTACAGAATGGGCAGAGTCATTGCTTTGAATCTGACTTTTCTGTGATCTCCTGCACAGATGCCGATGGTCCTGCTCCCCTTGAACTACCCAACCAGTGGCTCTGGGATATTATCGATGAGTTCATCTACCAGGTATCTGGTCAGCTTCAGCCTAATTTGAAATAACTGGTCCATGCCAGGAATAGCTGTTACTATTGTTTGTGTAAAAAAGCTGCAGGGTGTAAAAATATCCCCATTGTAGTGTAAAATACCCCATGGCAGTAGACTCCAGTTTCAGCTGGCTTTCGGAAGAGGCAGGGAAGCCTAAGCACTCCAGATAGGAAGCTGGAAGTCGGATAAGTTCAGCTCCTGACCTTCATCAAGCTCTTACTAGACCTTGTTAGGTGGTCTGGTGGTAAGAACACAGGCTTCACAGGCTTTGGAGCGAGGTGGAAGTGGATTCTAACTTGGGTGCTGCCACCTGCTGGTAGCTCTGTAACAGTGATGTGCTATTTAAACTCAGAGCCTCACTTTCTTTACCCACACAATGGAAATGTTCTATTATCTTTTTTTTTTTAAGAGTCAGGGTCAGGCCGGGCGCGGTGACTCACGCCTGTAATCCTAGCACTTTGGGAGGCAGAGGCGGGCAGATCACGAGGTCAGGAGATCAAGACCATCCTGGCTAACACGGTGAAACCCCGTCTCTACTGAAAGTACAAAAAATTAGCCGGGCGTGGTGGCAGGCGCCTGTAGTCCCAGCTACTCAGTAGGCTGAGGCAGGAGAATGGCGTGAACCTAGGAGGCGGAGCTTGCAGTGAGCCAAGATCGTGCCACTGCACTCCAGCCTGGTAACAGTGCAAGACTCCATCTCAAAAAAAAAAAAGAAAGAGTCAGGGTCTCACTCTGTTGCTCAGGCTAGAGTGCAGTGATAATAGCTTACTGCAGCCTAGAACTCCTGGGTTCAAGTGATTTTCCCACCTCAGCCACCTGAGTAGCTGCCACTACAAGGCCCACACCAACTTACGTGGATATTTATATTACTGTAGAGACGAGGGTCTTGCTGTGTTGCCCATGCTGGTGTTGAACTCCTGGCCTCAAGTGAGCCTCTTGACTTGGCCTCCCAAAGTGAGCCACCATGCCTAGCCATCTATATCTTGATTGTGGTGGTGGTTACTTAAGTGTATGCTCGATCAGAATACAATAGAACATTTTCATCACAACAAGAATATCACCTACCTCAGGAGTTGCTGTTCAAGGTCGAATGAGAACTGTGCCAAATGCAAATAAAGTACAGCAGCTGTGTAGCCTGGGGGTAAAAGTCCAGGTTTTGCTGTTGCTGTTTACTGGCTTTTTTTTTTTTTTTGGAGATGGAGTCTGACTCTGTTACCCAGGCTGGAGTGCAGTGGCATTATCCCGGCTCACTGCAACCTCTGCCTCCCGGGTTCAAGCGATTCTCTTGTCTCAGCCTCCCCAGTAGCTGGGATTACAGGTGCCCACCACCACGCCCAGCTAATTTTTGTATTTTTAGTAGAGACGGGGTTTCTCCATGTTGACCAGGCTGGTCTCGAACTCCCAACTTCAGGTGATCCGCCCTCCTTGGCCTCCCAAAGTGCTGGGATTACAGGTGTGAGCCACCGCGCCTGGCCTACTGGCCCATTTTAAAATGGTAACATGTTCTGTTGTGGGCACATTACTTAACCACACTGTGCATTGGTTTCCCCATCTCTAAAACGGATTGCTGCGAATGTTGCTGAGATACTACGTATAGAGTGTTTAGCATAGTGCCTGTCACAGAATAATTAATACACGTTGCCTGTTGATTGTGATGATGTTCAATGTCATCATTATTCTTTTCCATCTTATTTAGCCCAGTCCTTCTATTTAAAAATACAGATTGCTCACAACTGTAATCCCAGCATTTTTGGGGTCCAAGGCAGTAGGATCGCTTCAGTCCAGGAGTTCGAGAAATAGAGACTACAAAACATAAAATAGGCTGGGCGTGGTGGCTCACGCCTGTAATCCCAACACTTTGGGAGGCCTAGGTGGGCAGATCACGAGGTCTGGAGATGGAGACCATCCTGGCCACAATGGTGAAACCCCATCTCTACTAAAAAAAAAACAGCTGGGCGTGGTGGTGTGCGCTTGTAATCCTAGCTACTCGGGAGGCTGAGGCAGGGGAATCGCTCGAACCCGAGAGGCAGAGCTTGCAGTGAGCCAAAATCGTGCCACTGCACTCCAGCCTGGCGACAGAGTGAGACTCTGTCTCAAAAAAAAAACCAAAAAAAATAAAATATATAATTTGACAAAATATAATTCTTTTCCCCCTTTTTGTGCTGTCTATAGCTCTAACTGATTATTTCAGGATAAATTGGTATCTTAATAAAGATGTTATTAGAACTCCGTGAACCAGGGAGACGTTGTGTATACAAAGTGCTGAACCGTTACGAGTGGTGAGCTGAGAAACCTTCATAGTGCTCCTTGAGAAGGAGGCTTCCTGCTCAAGATTAGGCTTCAGTGCCTTTCATAGCAAAGGCCACAAACCGTACTGGCCTTGTTTGCCCTCTGGCTCCTTGGCTTGTGTCATCCTTTTATTTGGAATATTTATAGATGAATAGCAGTCTTTTTGACTTAGAGCAAGTGAAGAAGGATCATCCGTGCTGATTTTCTTTATCCCTCTTAAGATAATCATAATTCCCTGGGCTTAGCCAGTGTTGTTGTTAAGGGGCTTACGGTGCTTTCTAACAAAGACTGTCCAGTGAGGGTCAGTAAGTGGCTGGTGTATTTCGTCCTGGCCAGGTAGATGCCACATGGGGTAGGTGGCTCTTCCTCGCCACCCTGTTTTATTTATTTGTTTTTGTTTTTTCAAACTACAGATATAGTGAAAGTGCCTGCCTTGCTTGCTTTTGCAGAGGTATCAATTACTGTCTGGAAGGAAAGGCACCTTGTTGATGTTTCTCAGGCACTTACATAAACATGACTGTATAAAGAGAGATCACTTCAAAAATGGTTACGTACTCTATTGTGCCATTTACTGTGACTTGTTAACACACTTAAACCATATTTTCATAGACCTGACTTGCTCTTTTGCTGCAGTGTGCGTGATATGGATATACCATGCCTCTGATGATGAACCTTTGGGTTGTCAGTTTCCACAATTACAGGCAGTGAATCAGTGAATATCCATATATATGTTGTACACAGGCATATTTTTAGGGATCACTACCTAGAAGTAGAATTGTGGATTGAACGATACTTGCTTTTTAAGTTTTTTTAAATCAGCTTACTGAGGTATAGTTTATTTTTTTAAGTAGAGATGAGCCACCAGCTCGCGCCTGTTAATCCCAGCTCTTTGGGAAGCCAAGGCGGGTGGATCACGAGGTCAGGAGTTCGAGACCAGCCTGACCAACATGGTGAAACCCCGTCTCTACTAAAAATACAAAAAAATCAGCCGGGCGTGGTGGCAGGTACCTGTAATCCCAGCTATTTAGGAGGCTGAGGCAGGAGAATCGCTTGAACCTGGGAGGTGGAGGTTGCAGTGAGCTGAGATTGCGCCACTGCACTCCAGCCTGGGTGACAAAGCAAGACTCTGTCTCAAAAAAAACAAAAAACAAAAAACAGGTGTGAACCACCATGCCCAGCCATGAGGTGTAGTTTAATATACAATAAAATGTACCAGAATCAGTGTACAGTGGATGAGATTCAACAAATGTGTACAGTGCCACAATCAAGATAAAAGAACGTTTCAATCACTTTGAATTATAATAAATAGTAATATATTGTCCCACCAATGGGCTGTATCAAATTGTGTTACTACCAGCGGTGTTTGAGAGCAACTGTTGGTTTTTTTGTTTCTTTGTTTAAGAGATGGGGGTCTTGCCTTTATGGTCCAGGCTGGAGTGCAGTGGTGTGATCATAGCTCATTGCAGCCTTGACCTCCTGGGCTCAAGCAATCCCCCCACCTTAGCCTCCTGAGTAGCTCGGACTACAGGTGCACCCAGCTGATTTTTAATTTGTTGCAGAGATGGGGTCTTGAAATCCTGGGATAAAGCAATTCTCCCTGCTCAGCCTCCAAAAGTGCTGGGATTACAGGCGTGAGCCACCATGCCTAGCCAAGACCAACTGTTTTCTGTACTGGATATTATCAGTCTGTCTAATTTTTGTCAGTTCAATGGGAAAGAAATTCTGGCCGGGCGCAGTGGCTCACGCCTGTAATCTTAGCACTCTGGGAGGCCAAGGCGGGCAGATCACTTGAGGCCAGGAGTTCGAGACCAGCCTGGCCAACATGGTGAAACCCCGTCTCTACTAAAAATACAAAAATTACCCAGACTTGGTGGTGCATGTCTGTAATCCCAGCTACTCAGCAGCTGAGGGATGAGAATCACTTGAACCGAGAGGCAGAGGTTGCAGTGAGCTGAGATCACACCACCGCACTCCACCCTGGGCAGTAGAGTGAGATTCCGTCTCAAAAAAAAAAAAAAAAAAATCAGCGCGGTGGTTCACACCTGTAATCCCAGCACTTTGGGAGGCCGAGGCAGGCGGATCATGAGGTCAAGAGATTGAGACCATCCTGGCTAACACGGTGAAACCCCGTCTCTACTAAAAATACAAAAAAATTTGCCAGGCATGGTGGTGGGCGCCTGTAGTCCCAGCTACTCAGGAGGCTGAGGCAGGAGAATGGCGTGAACCCAGGAGGCGGAGCTTGCAGAGAGCCGAGATTGCACCACTGCACTCCAGCCTCGGAGACAGAGCGAGACTCCATCTCAAAAAAAAAAAAAAAAGAAAAAGAAAAAAAAATCATACTTTTCTGATTTCCCATATTAATTGTCAATTTTGTTTTCTTTGAAGTGATCATCACTATTCTTTGCCTGTTTTCTATTTGATTGCTTTTTTAATTGCATTACGAGAATTCTTTGTAGGATTTTTTTTTTTTTTTTTTTTTTGAGACAGAGTCTCGCTCTTTCGCCCAGGCTGGAGTGCAGTGGCATGATCTCTGCTCACTGCAGTCTCCACCTCCTGTGTTCAAGCGATTTTCCTGCCTCAGCTTCCCAAGTATCTGGATTACAGGTGTGCACCACCACGCCCTGCTAATTTTTTTTTTTTTTTTGCATTTTTAGTAGAGACGGGGTTTCACCATGTTGGCCAGGCTGGTTTTGAACTCCTGACCTCAAGGGATCCACCCATCTCGGCCTCCCAAAGTGCTTGGATAACAGGTGTAAGCGCCACCGCACCCAGCCTGAGAATTCTTTATATATTCTGGATATTCTTTTTTTTTCCCCCCTAAGGCGGAGTCTTGCTCTGTCACCTAGGCTGGAGTGCAGTGGCGTGATCTCAGCTCACTGCAACCTCTGCCTCCCAGGTTCAAGGGATTCTCCTGCCTCAGCCTCCCGAGTAGCTGGGATTACAGGCATGTGCCACCACACCTGGCTATTTTTGTTTTGGTGCTTTTTTTTTTTTTTTTTTTTTTTTTGAGACGGAGTTTTGCTCTTGTTGCCCAGGCTGGAGTGCAATGGTGCGATCTTGGCTCACCGCAACCTCTGCCTCCCAGGTTCAAGCGATTCACCTGCCTCAGCCTCCCGAGTAGCTGGGATTACAGGCATGTATCACTGTACCTGGCTAGTTTTGCATTTTTTGTACAGATGGGGTTTCTCCATGTTGGTCAGGCTGGTGTCAAACTCCCGACCTCAGGTAATCCGCCTGCATCGGCCTCCCAAAGTGCTGGGATTACAGGCATGAGCCACCGCACCCGGCCTGTTTTTGTATTTTTAGTAGAGATGGGGTTTCACCATGTTGGCCAAGCTGTTCTCGAACTCTTGATCTCATGATCCATCCACCTTGGCTTCCCAAAGTGCTGGGATTATAGGCGTGAGCCACCGTGCCTGGCATATTCTTTGTTTTTATATTACAAAATTAGCATTTTGTCCCACAGTCTAGAAGAAGATAATTTTTTGTGTTTTGAGACAGAGTTTTACTCTGTCACTCACACTGGAATGCAGTGGCACAACCTCACCTCACTGTAGCCTCCGCCTCCTGGGCTCAGGCAAAGCCCGTACCTCAGCCTCCTTAGTAGCGGAGACTGCAGGTGCCTGCCACCATTCCTGGCTAATTCGTTTGTGTTTTTTATAGCGATAGGGTTTTGCCATGTTTCCCAGGCTGGTCTTGAGCTCCTGGACCCAAGTGATCTGCCCACCTCAGTTTCCCAAAGTGCTGGGTTTACAGGGGTGAGCCTCTGATCTCTGCTGGAAGAGTTGAAGAACAGTCTTAGATCTTCTAAGACCTAGGTTTTAGGTCTGTGATTTCCAAACCTGATGCACACCAGATTCAACCAGAGAACTTTAAAAAATTGAGTAGGTAGGTCTGTTGTGTTCCATCTGTGTGACTGCTGGAGCCAGGCCAGGAGTGCTTCCAGGTTCTACTTCTGTCCCAAACAGATTCCTGTGGCATATCTTCTCTGTGTTCGTTGTGCTTGGCCAGACGACTCTGGTTGAGAGTGGTAGAGAGGTGACATAGTCTGGGAACTGATGGTCAGCTGTGGTAGGGAAGGCTCACACGTGCAGATACCTATTACCACATCACTGCCCATAACCCAGGGCGTACCACAGTCTAGCTGCATCTGAATAGATGGTACAAGAGCCCCTGTGGTGTTTCTGGTGGCCCGGTCAACTGCATTGTGAGGCCCAGAGACAGGAAGTGACTTTGGGTTGTGTTTGACTCCAGATTGGATGTTTTTACCACAGACTACCTCTAATCCTAGAGATTTTTACTTCACTGTGTAGTAAGTAACATTCAGTAATGAACAGAATTCACAGTTTAGTCAAGATGGCTTTGAAAAACAGTGTACGGAATGGTTTAGAATGAGAAGTGGTCATCTCACCCTCACCTTGCCCCATCCAGAGCCAGAGCATTGCCTCGTTTTCAGCATTGTGGACATGGATGATCACTTTGGGCTTATACCACTACTGCATGTTTCTTTTCTTCCTCAACAGTTTCAGTCATTCAGTCAGTACCGCTGTAAGACTGCCAAGAAGTCAGAGGAGGAGATTGACTTTCTTCGTTCCAATCCCAAAATCTGGAATGTTCATAGTGTCCTCAATGTCCTTCATTCCCTGGTAGACAAATCCAACATCAACCGACAGTTGGAGGTATACACAAGCGGAGGTGAGTGCAGCAGGCCGACAGCCGTGGCCTGCGAATTTCCAGCTGCTTGCCATCTGTTCCAAATGAATAGATCACTGCAAGGAGAGCAGATGAGTCACCATGTCTTAGGTGGTGGTCTGTTGACTCTTTGTAGGTGCTTGAGTACAAACAGTAGCAGAGTATTTGTGCTGGGGGCTCTGGGGCTTGGGAGTCCATTGGCCAACAGACTGAACCAGCACATTGAGATTTGCGTTTGTAAACACTTCTGTGTCTCCAGTGCTTTTGTTTAGATAAGCACTTCTCACACGTGTTGGTGTCAGAGCCACTTTACCCTGTTAAAATATTGAGAACCACAAAATGTATCTATTTTAAAAAATTTTTTTCTTTTTTTTTCAGTGAAGAGTGGCATTTTTGCAGATCTCTCTGTCTGGCTGAGATAGCTGGCTTCTCATTTCTGCTTCTGCATTCAATCTGTTGCAATGTGTTCTTTTGTTTGAAGCACATAAAGAAAATCTGGCCCAGGCACTGTGGCTCACACCTGTAATCCCAGCACTTTGGGAGGCTTAGGCAGAAGGATCGCTTGAGTCCAGGAGTTTGAGACCAGCCTGGGCAATATAGTGAGACTTTGTCTCAAAAAAAATGTTTAAATTGACTGAGCATGGTGGGTGGGGTGCCCCTGTAGTCCCAGCTACTCGGGAGGCTGAGGTGGGAGGATTGCTTGAGCCCAGGAAGCAAAGATTGCAGTGAACTGAGATCACACCACTGTACTCTAGCCTGGGCCACAGAGCGAGAACTTGTCTGAAAAAAAAAAAGAAGGAAAATCTGGCTTCACACGGTTATAGGAAGTTTTTTTGTTGTTTGTTTTTGAGACAGGGTGTCGCTGTGTCACCCAGTCTGGTCTTGGACTCCTGGGCTCAAGCAGTCCTGCCTTGGCCTCCCAAAAGTGCCAGGATTATTGGAGAGGATTTTCTTTGATACTACACCATGTAGTAGTATGTATGGGTTGAATATTCCTGACTTGAAAATTTGAAATCTGAAATGCTCCAAAATCTGACTTTTTGAGCACCAACATGACGCCGTAAGTAGAAAATTCTACACCCAACCTCATATGAGCAGTTGCAGTCAGAACTTCGTCTCATGCACAAAAGTATTTAAAAGATTATAATAAAGTTACTTTCAGGCTGTGTGTATAAGACATATATGAAAAATAAATGAATTTTATGTTTAGATTTGGATCCTATCCTTAAGATACTCATTAGGGCCGGGTGCCATGGCTCACGCCTATTATCCTGGCATTTTGGGAGGCTGAGGCGGGCAGATCACCTGAGGTCAGGAGTTCAAGACCATCCTGGCCAACATGGTGAAACCTCATCTCTACTAAAAATACAAAAAATTAGCCGGGCCTGGTGGTGGGCACCTGTAATCCCATCTACTTGGGAGGCTGAGGCAGGAGAATCATTTGAACCAGGGAGGCAGAGGTTGCAGTGAGCCGAGATCGCACCACTGCACTACAGTCTTAGTGACAGAGCGAGACTCTGTCTCGGGGAAAAAAAAAAAAAAAAAAAAGATATCTCATTAGGCATATGCAGATATTAAAAATTGCAAAATCCAAAACACTTCTGATCACAAGCATTTATAGAAGTATACTCACCCTGTACTTCTTTGAAGTAACCAGTGGTAGTTTCATACAGATTAGGTGCAGTGAGGAATCTGAAACTGTATTGGTGAATTTTTCTTTTGTTAACGTTATTCGTCACTTCTGTAATTTGAATGAGTTCCTTACATCCATGTGTGACTTTTTTTTTTTTCCTGAGACAGAATCTGCTCTGTTGCTCAGGCAGAGTGCAATGTCATGATCTCAGTTCACTGCATCCTCTGCCTCCGGGGTTCAAGCGATTCTCCTGTCTCAGCCTCCAGGGATATAGAAAGGAAGGATTACAGGCACACGCCACCACGCCGGGCTGATTTTTGTATTTTTAGTAGAACAGAGTTTGACCATGTTGGCCAGGCTGCTCTTGAACTCCCGAGCTCAAGTGATCTGCCTGCCTCGGCCTCCCAAAGTGCTGGGGTTACATGCATGAGCCACTGCGCCTGGCCATGTGTGATTTCTAAAAAAATATTGGTTCTCTGAGTTATAAAGATCTTCCAAATGTTGACACATTTTATTACATTTTTTTAAAAAGTCAGATTTGTTACTTTTGCCACTGACATCAGGTAAGCATTTATTTGTAAGCTATAGAGCTTGTAGTGGCAGATACAAGTTTTACAAAATTCCATTTTTGCTTAATAGCTTGAATTTTTATTTATTTTGAGATGGGGTCTCACTCTGTCACCCTGGCTGAAGTGCGGTGGCACAATCATGGCTCACTGCATCCTCTACCTGCTGGGCTCAAGTGATCCTCCTACCTCAGCCTCCCAAGTAGCTAGGAACGCAGGTTTGCACCACCATACCTGGCTGATTTTTTTTTCTTTTTTTTTTGGTAGAAACAAGGTCTCACTTTGTTGCCCAGGCCAATCTTGAACTCATGGGATTTCATGTGTGAGCCACTGTGCCCAACCTTTGAACTGTTTTATAGGTAGCAAACACTGTCAGTTATTTTCTTTGAGGTATGACAGGTTTACTTCATTTTTGTGAAAATGTCTGCCCTTTTTTCCTTCTTTTTTTATTTTTATTTTTTTTGAGACAGAGTCTTGCTCTGTAGCCCAGGCTTGAGTGCAGTGGCACAATCTCTGCTCACTGCAACCTCCGCCTCCCAAGTTCAAGCAATTCTCCTGCCTCAGCCTCCCCAATAGCTGGGACTGCAGGTGTGCACCACCACACCCATCTAATTTTTGTATTTTTAGTAGAGACGGGGCTTCACCATGTTGGGCAGGCTGGGCTCAAACTCCTGACCTCAAGTGATACGTCCGCCTCGGCCTCCCAAAATGCTAGGATTACAGGCATGAGCTGCGCTCAGTTGCGTATCAGTTTTTTTTGTTTTTTTTTTTTTGAGGTGGAGTCTCGCTCTGTTGCCCAGGCTGGAGTGCAGTGGCGCAATCTGGGCTCACTGCAAGCTCCGCCTCCCGGGTTCATGCCATTCTCCTGCCTCAGCCTCCCAAGTAGCTGGGCTACAGGCGCCCACCACCATGCCCGGCTAATTTTTTGTATTTTTAGTAGAGACGGGGTTTCACCTAGCCAGGATGGTCTCGATCTCCTGACCTCGTGATCTGCCCACCTCAGCCTCCCAAAGTGCTGGGATTACAGGCGTGAGCCACCGCTCCCGACCTATGTATCAGTTGTTTTTTTCAAGTAAAAATGAAAAAAGAATTTTCTTTCTTTTTTTTGTCTTTTTTTTAGAACAGGGTCTCTCTGTTACCCAGGCCAAAATGCAGTAGCACTTCCATAGATCTCAGTCTCAAAAAACAAACAAACAAACAAAAAACAACTGATACAACAATCTCTGGTTATTCAGATATGGTACCTGGGCTCAAGCACATCCTCCCATCTCGGCCTCTCAAGTTGCTGGGATTAGAGGTCTAAGCCACCAAGCCTGGCTAAGGACTAGTTCTTTTAGTGCAAATGCATGGCAAGAAGCAATGCAGTGACTACTGGTACAATTTTGTGTCGTTGCCTGATTTATGCTTAAGTTGACAGTAATTTTACCCAACATAGTGTTTGCATCATGCAAAATTCAACTCAGTGGGAAGGGCAAGTAACATCTTAGTGTTGTTATTAGGAAAATAGCTTTGACCTCATGTGCTTTCTGAAAGGAGGAGTCTTCGTGGTTGTATTTTACTGATGAGAGGGGCCTTTGCATGTGTTGGGACCAAAAAAAAAATAAGCAAAATGAACTGCCATCCTGTAAGCAAATATTGGTAAATCGAAGATTAGCATAAGATTGGTTTTGCTGTTTCTTGGTATTCCTTTGAAGTTATTCCCCAGTTGTTGAGGGAAGCTTTCAAGGCTGGCAGTAGGTGAGATGCCTACTGAGTAACATTCAGAGGTCAGGTGTGCCTGCCTTTACCTGCCTCCTATCAGTATTCACGGTGTCTGTCTCTTTCAGGTGACCCTGAGAGTGTGGCTGGGGAGTATGGGCGGCACTCCCTCTACAAAATGCTTGGTTACTTCAGCCTGGTCGGGCTTCTCCGCCTGCACTCCCTGTTAGGAGATTACTACCAGGCCATCAAGGTGCTGGAGAACATCGAACTGAACAAGAAGGTGATGCCTATTGCCTCTGGCCCCTCTTGCCAGAGCCAGAATATCTATTTCTAGAGAACCACTCTGATCTCTTAGGACAAATTTCCAGGAGAGGAAAGAGGACTGTTCCCTCAGGCCATTGAAAGTTGAGACTAAAACTGGGCAAACAGCTGTGGTAAAAAGCTAGACCTGGACGATTTTGGTAGTTAACAACAGTTTTTTATTTTGTTTTCAAAATGGAATGATGATGGCAGCTTGCTCTGTCACCAGGCTGGAGTGCAGTGGTGTGATCTCAGCTCATTGCAACCTCCGTCTCCTGGGTTCAAGCGATTCCCCTGCCTCAGCCTCCTGAGTAGCTGGGACTACAGGCATGCGCCACCATGCCCAGCTAATTTTTTTTTTTTTTTTTTTTTTGTATTTTAGTAGAGTTGGGGTTTCACCGTGTTGGCCAAGATGGTCTCGATCTCCTGACCTCGTGATCCGCCTACCTCGGCCTCCCAAAATGCTGGGATTACAGGCGTGAGCCACCATGCCTGGCCCATGGCAGCTCTTTGCTCTTCACATTTTGCTAAAGGATTGAGAAGGCCAGACGCAGTGGCTCACACCTGTAATCCCAGCAGTTTGGGAGGCTGAGGCAGGTGGATTACTTGAGGTCAGGAGTTCGAGACCAGCCTGGCCAACATGGTGAAACCCTGTCTCTGTTGAAAATACAAAAAAAAAAAAAACTAGCTGGGTATGGTGGTGGGCACTTGTAATCCCAGCTACTCAGGAGGCTGAGGTAGGAGAATCACTTGAACCTGGGAGGCAGAGGTTGCAGTGAGCCGAGATCACACCATTGCACTCCAGCCTGGGCAACAGAACAAGACTCTGTCCCAGAAAAAAAAAAAGAATTAAGTAAAGATGTAATTCTAAGATGGTATGTTCATTGATACATGGTTAGCTGTTGTGTTCTTCCTAACCACAGAAAAATATTACAGATAATTTTTATTTGGTGTTTGGCTCATGTGCATGTATGTGTTTCTGTCTTCCCTGTCCAAAAGGACTTAATTGAAAAAGCAAGGAAAAATAACAAAACTGAGATGTATAGCATTTTAGAGCTGAAGGAGATTTTAGGGATTACCTGATCCAGAACCTTCTTGTTTACAGCTAAAAAAATGGATTCCTCAAAACATACAACTTAATTGATGAATAGGAAGATCCGCTCTCAAACTCTGGGACTCCAGAGCTTCCTCTGGATAGTTGAGGGCCTCTGCAGGGAAAACTCTTGGTGTTTCTACCTCTGGTTCTATCTAGGATGAATTGGGACTCATGAATGTTTGTTCTACCTCCTTCTACAGAGTATGTATTCCCGTGTGCCAGAGTGCCAGGTCACCACATACTATTATGTTGGGTTTGCATATTTGATGATGCGTCGTTACCAGGATGCCATCCGGGTCTTCGCCAACATCCTCCTCTACATCCAGAGGACCAAGAGCATGTTCCAGAGGACCACGTACAAGTATGAGATGGTAAGGGGGACTCTGCCTGCCACCAGTGGCCTTTCTAATCAGGGGGATCCTTGGCACCTATGCCAACCATTCTTGGTAAACACCATCCAAAATATTGCACTTTTAAGCCAGGAGTTCAAGACTGTAGAGCGCTCTGTGATTGTGCCTACTAATAGATCACCCAGCTGGAGTGCAGTGACGCAGTCACAGCTCACGTCAGCCTCAACCTCCTGGGATCAGGCGATCATCCTACCTTAGTCTTCCGAATAGCTGGGCTTAAAGGCGCACACAACAACACCGGCTAATTTTTTTTTTTTTTTTTTTTTTTTTTTGAGACGAAGTCTCTGTCACCCAGGCTGGAGTACAGTGGTGCAATCTCAGCTCACTGCAACCTCCGCTTCCTGGGTTCAAGTGATTCTCCAGCCTTAGCCTCCTGAGTAGCTGGGACTACAGACGCGTGCCACCATGTCCAGCTAATTTTTGTATTTTTAGTAGAGATGGGGTTTCACTATTTGGCCAGGCTGGTCTCGAACTCCTGACCTCAGGCGATCCATCCACCTCAGCCTCCCAAAGTGCTGGGATTACAGGCGTGAGCCACCACGCCCAGCCAAAATGAACTTTTAATGGCTAGCATACTCTTAGGAGTTTCTGTTGTGATGCCTGTTACCTCAGATCATTAACATCTTGATGATAAGGACTTGATGATAATATCTTTTGTTTCAGTTATATCCTCCAGCAGTGCCTACATTTATTTATTCAGCATCAGTATGCTGAGTGTTCACTGGGTTCTAAATGTTTTGATATAAGGTGTGGATATTGGTGGGAAGGAGGATGGGTTCAAGAATTGGGAGGAGCTTCCTAGGCAGAGAATATCATGAGCAAAGTGGTTGAGACTTGAAAGTGTGGTGATGCAGCCGCACAATAAACTGTTCTGGCTGGAGGGCAAGTAGGTAGTAGGAATTGGGTTATTAGATTCTGAGAACCTTCATTAACCCAGGTAAAGTATAGTCCTGTGTCATTTGATGCTGCAGATACATTCTGAGAAATGCATCATTTGGTGATTTTGTTGTGTGAACATCATAGAATGTACTTACACAAACCTAGATGGGATAACCTACTACATACCCGGGCTACATGGTATAGCCTATGGCTCCTTGGCTACAAACGTCTAGAACATATTACTGTACTGAATACCATAGGCAGTTGTAACACAAAGGTATTTGTGTATCTAAGATACAGTAAAAATACAGGATTATAATCTTGCAGGATCACCATCCTATATGTGGCCCATGGCCCGTTGTTGACTGAAACGCTGTTGCACGGCACATTACTATTTAGTCTATATTTCTGTCGTCATCAAGGTTGCATCAAAGGTTTTGGGTAACTCGATCCTAACTGTGTAAAAGGATTGACCTGCTAGTGATGTGTGGGACAAACTGGAGAGACTAAGACAGAGGTGCCAGTAAGGAATCCAGAAGATGGCTAAGGAGGATCTGGAGCTAGGATGGAAGTTAGGTAGATCTAGAGGGAGGATTGGAAGAGATGTTGGGGAAGTTCAATGGCTGGTATGAAACAACTGGGTAAGTCAAAGATCTGTGCAGAGAATGGTGAGGCCAGTTGGCAGTGGGGACCTCAGGAAGTCCGTCTCATTTGACCCAGTACCACTCTCCACCCCATCCCCAGATTAACAAGCAGAATGAGCAGATGCATGCGCTGCTGGCCATTGCCCTCACGATGTACCCCATGCGTATTGATGAGAGCATTCACCTCCAGCTGCGGGAGAAATATGGGGACAAGATGTTGCGCATGCAGAAAGGTGACCCACAAGTCTATGAAGAACTTTTCAGTTACTCCTGCCCCAAGTTCCTGTCGCCTGTAGTGCCCAACTATGATAATGTGCACCCCAACTACCACAAAGAGCCCTTCCTGCAGCAGCTGAAGGTGTTTTCTGATGAAGTACAGCAGCAGGCCCAGCTTTCAACCATCCGCAGCTTCCTGAAGCTCTACACCACCATGCCTGTGGCCAAGCTGGCTGGCTTCCTGGACCTCACAGAGCAGGAGTTCCGGATCCAGCTTCTTGTCTTCAAACACAAGATGAAGAACCTCGTGTGGACCAGCGGTATCTCAGCCCTGGATGGTGAATTTCAGTCAGCCTCAGAGGTTGACTTCTACATTGATAAGGTATGCCTGTCCCCTGGGCTTGGGGTCTTGTATTAAGTGTTCAGTATCTTTCATTCACTATTGTGGGCACATGAAGTATATCGGGGAACAAAAAGATTCCTGGCCTTGTGGTGCTGCCACAAGGTGCCAGGTGTGGTGGCTCATGCCAGTAATACTAGTACTTTAGGGGAGGCTGGGGTGGGAGGATCACTCTAGCCCAGGAGTTCAAGACCAGCCTGGGCAACGTAGTGAGACCTTTTCTCTATTAAAAAAAAAAAAAAAAAAACACAAGAGATAAACAATAGATGGTTTTGTTTTGGTTTTTTTTTTGAGATGGAATTTCGCTCTCGTTGCCCAGGCTAGAATGTGATGGCACGATCTCGGCTCACCGCAACCTCCGCCTCCCAGGTTCAAGCCATTCTCCTGCCTCAGCCTCCTGAGTAGCTGGGATTACCGGCATGTGTTACCATGCCCAGCTAATTTTGTATTTTTCGTAGAAATGGGGTTTCTCCATGTTGGTCAGTCTGGTGTCAAACTCCCAACCTCAGGTGATCAGCCAGCCTTGGCCTCCCAAAGTGCTGGGATTACCAACAATAGATGTTATAATTAAACAATAGATGTTATAATTAAACAAACTATGTAGTAAGAAGTTGCCAAGCACTGCAGAGTAAAGGAAGGCAGAGGTGGTGGGAAGCACAGGTTGCAATGTTAAATACGGTGTTCAGACAGGCTTTGTTGAGAAAGTGAAGTTTAAGCTAAGCTAAGACTTGAAGGAGGTGAGGGAGTAGTGTTTTGGTTTTTTTTTTTTTTTTTTTGACAGTCTTGGTCTGTCGCCCAGGCTAGAGTGCAGTGGTGCAATCTCGGCTCCCTGCAACCTCCGCCTCCCAGGTTCAAGCAATTCTCCTGCCTCAGCATCCTGAGTAGCTGGAATTATAAGAGGCCGCCACCACACCTGGCTAATTTTTGTATTTTTAGTAGAGACAGGGTTTTGCCATGTTGGCCAGGCTAGTCTCAAACTCCTGACCTGAAGCGATCCATCTGGTGGAGAGTTCTTAATAGCTCACCAAAGGCTGGACACGGTGGCTCATGCCTGTAATCCCAGCACTTTGGGAGGCCGAGATGGACAGATCATGGGGTCAAGAGATCAAGACCATCCTAGCCAACATGGTGAAACCCCATCTCTACTAAAAATAAATTAGCTGGGCATGGTGGCGCATACCTGTAGTCCCAGCTACCCGGGAGGCTGAGGCAGGAGAATCACTTGAACCCAGGAGGCGGAGGTTGCAGTGAGCTGAGATCGCTGCACTGCACTGTAGCCTGGCAACAGAGCGACACTCCGTCTCAAAAAAAAAAAAAATAGCTCACCAGATATCTGGAGGAAGAGCCTTCCAGGCAGAGGAACAGTTAGAGCAAAGGCCCCGAAGAGGAGTGAGGCCAATAAGTTTAAGGGACAGTTGTAGTATGCCCGAGTAGCCTGAGAAAGGAGGCTGTGAAGATGAGATTGGAGAAAGGGGGATGGTGCTTTGTATACTGTTGGAGTACTTTACAAGTGGGAAGCCATTGTCCTGCTGCCTTCTTTATTTTTTTATTTTTAGTTAGCAATAATCACACCTCACATAACCCTCATTGGCCATACTGCCACTGCACAAAGCTTTTTTTTTTTTTTTGAGATGGAGTGTCATTCTGTCGTCCAGGCTGGAGTGCAGTGGCACGATCTTGGCTCACTGCAACCTCTGCCTCCCGGGTTCATGCGATTCTCTTGCCTCAGCCTCCTGAGTAGCTGGGATTACAGGCTCACACCACCACACCCAGCTAATATTTTGTGTATTTTTAGTAGAGACAGGGTTTCACTATGTTGACCAGACTGGTCTCCAACTCCTGACCTTGTGATCCGCCCGCCTCGGCCTCCCAGAGTGCTAGGATTACAGGCGTGAGCCATCGCGCCCGGTATTATTTTATTTTTATTTTATTTTATTTTATTTTGAGATGTCTCGCTCTGTCGCCTAGGCTGGAGTGCAGTGGCGCGATCTCAGCTCACTGTAAGCTTCACCTCCCAGGTTCACGCCATTCTCCTGCCTCAGCCTCCCGAGTAGCTGGGACTACAGACACCCGCCACCACACCTGGCTAATTTTTTGTATTTTTTAGTAGAGACGGGGTTTCACTGTGTTAGCCAGGATGGTCTCAATCTCCTGACCTCGTGATCCACCCACCTCGGCCTACCAAAGTGCTGAGATTACAGGCGTGAGCCACTGCATCCGGCTCTCTTTTTTGAGACAAGGTCTCACTCTGGTTGCCCAGGCTGGAGTGCAGTGGTGTGATCTCAGCTCACTGCAGCCTCAACTTCCTGGGTTCAGGTGATTGTCCTACCTCATCCTCCCAAGTAGCTGAGATTACAGGCGCACGTCACCACGACTGGCTAATTTTTGGTATTTTTAGTAGAGATGGGGTTTGGCCATGTTGCCCAGCCTGGTCTCGAACTCTGATATGTGCCACTGTTCCCAGCCGATTTTAAGTTTTTACTTTATAGAAACAGGGTCTCACTTTGTTGCCCAGGCTAGTTTCAAGTGATCCTCCTACCTTGGCCTCCCAAAATGCTGGGATTACTGGTGTGAGCCACTGCGCCTGTCCTGTCCTGATGTCTAACATCTTGGATTAGTGCTGCCTGTTTGTGAACTTTATATAATGGAATTACACAGTATGTACTCTTTAAGTCTGGCTTCTTTTGCTCAACGTTATAATTGAGTGAGTCACCGTCCATTGTGTGTAGCAGTGATTCCTTCATGTTTATTGTTCTGTGATAGTCCAGCATCTGCTGTTGTTATTGTACTGCAGTTTATCCATTCTCCCATTGATTAACGTTTGGATGGTTTGTATATTACAAAAAATACAAGTAAGGTTTTTACAGAGTGGCTAGTAATACATTTATATATGCCTATGTATGCCTCAAGTTCTTTCCAGAAGGATACACAAGCAACATAGCAGTAGCTTCCTCTCAGGAGGGGAGGTGGGTTGAAGAACAGTGTTAGTTTTCACTGGCACTTTTAAGTTCAAGCTGGACATTTTAATGTCTGATGAGATTTTCATTTTTATTTATTTATTTAGAGACAGAGTCTCATTGTATCACTCAGGCTGTAGTGCAGTGATGTGATCTTGGCTCACTGCCACCTCCGCCTCCTGGGTTCAAGCAATCCTTCTGTCTCAGCCTCCTGATTAGCTGGGACTACAGGCGCTGATGAGCTGATGAGGTTTTTAAAAGAATTGTTTTCTTTTTTTTTAGACTGAGTCTTGCTCTTGTTGCACAGGCTGGAGTGCAATGGCACAATCTTGGCTCACCGGAACCTCTGCCTCCCGGGTTCAGGCGATTTTCCTGCCTCAGCCTCCCGAGTAGCTGGGATGTACAGGGATGCGCCACCATGCCCAGCTAATTTTGTATTTTTAGTAGAGACAGGGTTTCTCCGTCTTGGTCAGGCTGGTCTCGAACTCCCGCCCTCAGGTGATCTGCCCGCCTCGGCCTCCCAAAGTGCTGGGGTTACAGACATGAGCCACCACACACGGCCGTCAGCCCAGGTTTTCTAAGATCAGCAAATGTCCATAGGGCAGAGGGGGTCTTCTGTGCTTTTCTTAGAATGGTTTCTTTTTTCCCAAAATGTTCTGTTACTATCTTGTCAGCTCTTTGATGCTGTAAGTTTTTTTCTAATATCCTGCATTTTTAATTGTTTTTGAAAGCATTTTGGGCCAGGTACAGTGGCTTATAGCTATAATCCCAATACTCTGGAAGGACGAGGCAGGAGAATTGCTTGAGCCCAGGAGTTCAAGACCAACCTGGGCAACAAACCAAGACCCTGTCTCTACTTTTTAAAAAGAGAAAAAGCATGCTGGGCATGATGGCTCACGCCTGTAATCCCAGCACTTTGGGAGGCCAAGGCGGGTGGATCACCTGAGGTCAGGAGATCAAGACCATCCTGGCCAGTATGGTGAAACCCTGTCTCTACTAAAAATATAAAAATTAGCCAGGCATGGTGGCACATGCCTGTAATCCCAGTAACTTGGGAGGCTGAGACAGGAGACTCACTTGAGCCCAAGAGACAGAGGTTGCAGTGAGCTGAGATCAAGCCACCGCATTCCAGCCTTTGTGACAGAGATGAGACTGCATCTTGAAAAAAAGAGAAAAAGCATTTTGGTCTAAATGTATTGTTGGAAATAGCACTTTTTGAGCAGTTCTTAAAAATACATAATTTTAGGCTGAGTGCAGTGGCTCATACCTGTAATCCTATCACTTTGGGAGGCCAAGGTGGGTAGATCATCAGAGGTCAGGAGTTCAAGACCTGCCTGTGCAACATGGTGAAACCCCGTCTCTACTAAAAATATTTAAAAAATTAGCCGGGCATGGTGGTGCGTTCCTGTAATCCCAGCTACTCGGGAGGCTGAGGCACGAGAATCACCTGAACCTGGGAAGCAGAAGCTGCAGTGAGCCGAGATTGTGCCACTGCACTCCAGCCTGGGCAACAGAGTGAGAGACTGTCTCAAAAAAAGAAAAAAACATAATTTTTATACATAATTTGCATGATAAGCCGGGCGCGTTGGTTCACGCAAGTAATCCCAGCACTTTGGGAGGCCGAGCTAGGCGGAACACGAGGTCAGGAGATCAAGACCGTCCTGGCCAATATGGTGAACCCCATCTCTACTAAAAATACAAAAATTAGCTGGGCGTGGTGGCGGGTGCCTGTAGTCCCAGCTACTTGGGAGGCTGAGGCAGGAGACTTGCTTGAACCTAGGAGGCGGAGGTTGCAGTAAGCCAAGATTGCACCACTGCACTCCAGCCTGGGCAACAGAGCGAGACTCCACTTCAAAAAAATAAAAAAAGGCTGGGCATGGTGGCTCACGCCTGTAATCCCAACACTTTGAGAGGCGAAGGTGGGCGGATCACTTGAGGTCAGGAGATCAAGACCAGCCTGACCAACATGAAGAAACCCCATCTCTACTAAAAATACAAAATTAGCCAGACGTGGCAGCGCATGCCTGTAATCTCAGCTACTCCGGAGGCTGAGGCAGGAGAATTGCTTGAACCCGGGAGGTGGAGGTTGCAGTGAGCCAAGATCGTGCCATTGCACTCCAGCCTGGGCAACAAGAGTGAAACTCCGTCTCAAAAAAAAAAAAAAAAAAAAAACTTGCATGATCCCAGCACTTTGGGAGGCTGAGGCAGGCAGATCACGAGGTCAGGAGATCAAGACCATCCTGGCTAACACGGTGAAACCCTGTCTCTACTAAAAATACAAAAAATTAACCGGGCATGGTGGTGGGCGCCTGTGGTCCCAGCTACTCGGGAGGCTGAGGCAGGAGAATGGTGTGAACCCGGGAGGCGGAGCTTGCAGTAAGCAGAGCTCGCGCCACTGCACTCCAGCCTGGGCGACAGAGCGAGACTCCATCTCAAAAAAAAAAATTGCAGGATATAAACTTCACCATTTTAAAATGTGCAATTTGGCCAGGTGTGATGCTTTACACCTATAATCCCAGCACTTTGGGAGGCCAAGGCTGGCAGATCACTTGAGACCAGGAGTTCAAGACCAGCCTGGCCAACATGGTGAAACCCCATCTGTACTAAAAATACACAAATTAGCTGAGTGTGGGGGCGCATGCCTGTAATACCAGCTACTTGGGAGGCTGAGGCACAAGAATCGCTTTAGCCTAGGAGGTGGAGGTTGCAGTGAGCCAAGATCATGCCACTGCACTCCAGCCTGAGTGACAGAGTGAGACCCTGTCTCCATAAATAAATAGAATGAATGAATGAATGAATGAAGAATTCAGTGGTTATTAGTATGTTCACAGTGTTTTGCAACCATCTCCACTGTCTAATTCCAAAACATTTCTGTCCCCCCAAAAAGAAACTCCCTACCCACTAGCAGTCACTCGCAGTTCCCCAGTTCCCCCTTTCTGCCATCCCCTAGCAAACCCCTAATCTGCTTTGGTCTCTCTGCATTTGACATTTCAGATAAATGGAATCATGTAATATATGGACTTTTGTGTTTGGGTCCTTTCACTGAGCATGTCTTCAAGTTTCATCCATATTATAGCATGTGTCAGTACATTCCTTTTATAGCTGAATAATATCCCATGTATTAATGTACTGCATTTTGTTTATCCATTTGTTGTTGCACATTTGGGGTTTTTGGTTTTTGGGGGTTTTTTGTTCCTTTTTTCACTTTTTGGCTTATGAATAGTGCTGCTGTGAATATTCATCTAGAAGTTATTGTGTGAACATATGTTTTTAATTTTCAGATATATATCTAGTTGTGGAATTTCTAGGTCAGTTTGGGTAGTTTGTTTTTGAAAGTTCATTTTGCTTTAAAATAAATACTCTCATTTCATTTTTATGGCTTCTGGAAGACTTGGTTTTTGCCATAAGTTAGCTAGCCCGATACAAACAGATTTGCCAAAAGTAATAACACGTCAGTAGTGGAAGTTTTCCAGTGTTTTAAATCATGCTTTTATAAATCAAAGAAAACTGAGCCAGGCTTCGTAGCGTGTACTTGTAGTCCCAGCTATGGGAGAGAGTCCCTTATAGCCCCTGCCTTAGGACGCTGAGGCAGGAGGATGGCTTGAGCCCAGGCGTTTGAGGCTGCAGTGACCTAAGATCTTACCACTGCAGTGCAGCCTGGGTAACAAAGTGAGACCCTGCCTCTAAAAATAAATAAATATATAAATAAATAAAAATAAAGAAAACTTTCTCCCTTGCCAGGATCATGTCAAGCCTTTTTTTTTTTTTTTTTTTTTTTTTTTTTTAAGATAGCATCTTAATCCTCCAGTTGTCCAGGCTGGAGTGCAGTGGCAAAATCACAGCTCACTGCAGCCTCAACTCCCGGGGGCTCAGGTGATCCTCCTATCTCAGCTTCTCAAGTAGCTGGGACTACAGGACTGCACCACCACATCTTGCTAATTTTTGTATTTTTTGTAGAGATGGGGTTTTACCATGTTGCCCAGCCTGGTCTCAAATACAAACTCTTGGGCTCGGGTAGTCTGCCCACCTCTGCCTCCCAAAGTGCTGGGATTGCAGGTGTGAGCCACCATGCCTGGCCTAGTTTTTTCTCAATACCTGACATATATACGTTCTTTGGCAATTATAGTAGCCTCCTGCATTCCTCTGTCACCTCTTAATTACCAGCCTAGCTATTCTCAACTAATCTGGGTAGTTTAACAAAACATTTCTCCTAAGAATTGGCTATTTGATTATTATTTAATTGCATGTTTTACTGTTATTCCTCTGTTGCTGGTTCAGGTTTGTCTTTGGCAAAGTGCTTCTTTTTTTTTTCCTTTTTGACTCTTCATTCTTAACTTGAAAGAAATCCTATCAGAGATTTAGAACGTTCTTAGATCTTAACCTAGGGGATATAGAAAATTTTAAAGTAAAATGGTGTTCAAAATATTTTCAGCTAAAAACAAAACTTAAAGATTGGACTAATTTGCAATTTTATCAACAGTGTAGGAGCATAAACTTTTTTTTTTTTTTTTTTTTGAGATGGAGTCTCACTTTGTCACCCAAGCTGGAGTGCAGTGACGCAGTCTCGGCTCACTGCAACCTCTCCCTCCTGGGATTACAGGTGCCCGCCACTACGCCCAGCTAATTTTTAGTAGAGATGGGGTTTCACCATGTTGGTCAGGCTGGTCTTGAATTCCCAACCTCCCAAAGTGCTGGGATTACAGGCGTGAGTCACCATGCCCAGCCAGCATAAACATCTTTATTCCCAAAATAAAAAAGACGAGGCTGGGCACGGTGGCTCACGCCTGTAATCCCAACACTTTGGGAGGCCAAGACGGGCGAATCATGAGGTCAGGAGATCGAGACCATCCTGGCTAACATGGTGAAACCCCGTCTCTACTAAAAACATACAAAAAAAATTAGCCAGGCATGGTGGCGGGTGCCTGTAGTCCCAGCTACTCGGGAGGCTGAGGCAGGAGAATGGTGTGAACTCGGGAGGTGGAGCTTGCAGTGAGCCGAGATCGCACCACTGCACTCCAGCCTGAGTGACAGAGCAAGACTCCATCTCAAAAAAAAAAAAAAGACTAGAAAATAAAAGACAAAAAAAAAGTCTAGAAAATAAAAGTACAAATGAATTGATAAAAAAAATATATATAAACTAGGCCGGGCACATTGGCTCATGCCTGTAATCCCAGCACTTTGGGAAGCTGAGGCGAGTGGATCACCTGAGGTCAGGAGTTTGAGACCAGCCTGATTAACATGGTAAAACCTCATCTCTACTAAAAATACAAAAATTAGCCAGGCAAGATGGCGGGAGCCTGTAATCCCAGCTACTTGGGAAGCTGAGGCAAGAGAATTGCTTGAACCCTGGAGGCGGAGGTTGCAGTGAGCTGAGATCATGCCATTGCACTCCAGCCTGGGCGACGAGCAAAACTCCATCTCAAAAAAAAAAAGAAAAGAAAAACTCTCTAGAAAGAGTGAGTTACTGTTAACTGGTGGTGTTTTTCCAGTGGTCTTTTCCCCACCTTTACATCTAACACTCACCATCATTATCACTTGCAAGTCCATGGTGGCTCCTGGGTTAGATGGCCCTGCTCCTCCACCTGGCTGCTCTTCCCTGACTGTGCTTTCCCCCACAGGACATGATCCACATCGCGGACACCAAGGTCGCCAGGCGTTATGGGGATTTCTTCATCCGTCAGATCCACAAATTTGAGGAGGTGAGAGATCTGAGAGAAGAGGGGTTTGTTGGCTCAGGACAGAGCTTAGGAACTGAATCGAGAGTTTACTTTTTTTTAATTTTTATTCCTTTATTTATTTTGAGATGGAGTCTTGTGCTGTCACCCATGCTGGAGTGCAGCGACGTGATCTTAGCTCACTGCAACCTCTGCCTCCTGGGTTCAAGCGAGTCTCCCTCCTCAGCCTCCCGCATAGCTGGAATTACAGGTGTGTGCCACCACACCCAGCTAATTTTTGTATTTATGGTAGAGATGGGGTTTCACCATGTTGGCCAGGCTGGTCTCCAGCTCCTGGCCTCAAGTGATCCAGTCCGTCTCAGCTTCCCAAAGTGTTGGGATTACAGGCATGAGCCACCATGCCTGGCCTTTTAAATTTTTCATTTCTGTTATTAAGAAAGCCTACTGCCCTCCAGCCTGGGCAACCGAGCAAGACCCTGTCTCAAGAAAAAAAAAAAAGAAAAAGAGGCCAGGTGCAGTGGCTCATGCCTGTAATCCCAGCACTTTGGGAGGCTGAATTTGAGATCAGGAGTTCAAGACCAGCCTGGCCACATGGTGAAACCTCATGTCTACTAAAAATTAAAAAAATTAGCTGGGTGTGGTGGTGCGCACCTGTAATCCCATCTACGCAGAAGGCTGAGGCAGGAGAATGATTTGAACCTGGGAGATGGAGGCTGCAGTGAGCAGAGATCATGCCACTGCAAAAGAAAGCTTGAGGTTGGCCCTTTAAATTTTCAAGCTAGACTGGCTGGCTGCTTGGGGTTTGGGGAGTGGGGTTGGGCCTGTAGGAATTGCTGCATCAGCCTTCTCCAGAGCATCTCTTTCCAAGATCTCCCTCTGCGGGTGGCCAGCTCTCCTCTCCCTCCCTGGTATTTCCTAATATGGGTGGATTCACTGCCTGCTCTTGCCCATCCCTCCCCGTTTGGCATTGTTTTCCAACTTAGACAGGTCTGGCTAGTTCCTGTAGGCTGGAGGACAGGAAGCTCTGTTTTGACATACTTGGTGCATTCCTTGTCTTGCCCTAGGAGAGGTCTTGTGGGTCAGGCCAAACACTGTAAGGGTGTGGGTCTCTCTTTGTGGCCATTGCTAGGGCTACTGTGTCCTGGTGCTTTGAGTTCTCCAGCAGAGGTCAGGCTCTTCCTGCAGGATCATAACAGCCCTGCTGCTCTTTTTACTTTCTGGCTGTTTAGATCACATCTGTCAGGGTGGTGGGCTAGGGCTGTCTTCTAACAAGGATCCTGTTCAAAGCTTCTCATTCTTCCCCTAACTGAACTAGTAACCTTGAAACGTCTGGCCAGTCTGAATCCTTTTTCTGTCAGATGGATAGAGCAGTGTTGTGTATGGGTTTGTTGAGTGTGAAGGGCAGATAAAAGAATAATCCGCGTGAACTGTGCAGGGCCATATGAATGTCACGGCTTTGCACACACATAGTGGACACCCACATCAGAAACTTCCTTTCTTGGCTTCAGAGGGGCAGCTGGGAATCTGACCTAGTGATCATACACACTGTAGGAAAGGGGTTGGGGAAATCCCCGTATGTAACTTTGCTTTTCTTTCTCTTCTAGCTTAATCGAACCCTGAAGAAGATGGGACAGAGACCTTGATGATATTCACACACATTCAGGAACCTGTTTTGATGTATTATAGGCAGGAAGTGTTTTTGCTACCGTGAAACCTTTACCTAGATCAGCCATCAGCCTGTCAACTCAGTTAACAAGTTAAGGACCGAAGTGTTTCAAGTGGATCTCAGTAAAGGATCTTTGGAGCCAGATTTGTCGTCTCATTATTGTAGGAGAGAATTTGTGGGTTGTGGCAGTAATACATTTCCCATGTGTCCTGATGCTTTCAGGATACATCAGTTGTTAGTGTTTAAATTGAGTTATTTTTATTTTGTGCTTTTGAGATGGAGTCTCACTCTGTCTCCCAGGCTGGAGTGCAGTAGCGTGATCTCAGTTCGTTGCATCCTCCGCTGCCCAGGTTCAAGCAGTTCTGCCTCAGCCTTCCAAGTAGCTGGGATTACAGGCGTGTGCCACCACACTCAGCTAATTTTTGTATTCTCAGTAGAGATGGGTTTTACCATGTTGGCCAGGCTGGTCTCGAACTCCTGGCCTCAAGTGATTCGCCTGCCTTGGCCTCCCAAAATGTGCTAGGATTACAGGCATGAGCCACCACGCCCCGCCTAAATTCAAAATCTTTTTGTTTTTTTTTAGACGGAGTCTCACTCTGTCGCCCAGGTTGGAGTGTACTGGCGCGATCTCGGCTCACTGCAAGCTCCACCTCCCAGGTTCCTGCCATTCTCCTGCCTCAGCCTCCCAAGTAGCTGGGACTACAGGCACCCGCCACCATGCCCGGCCAATTTTTTGTATTTTTTAGTAGAGATGGGGTTTCACCGTGTTAGCCAGGATGGTCTCAGATTTCCTGACCTCGTGATCTGCCCATCTCTGCCTCCTAAAGTACTGGGATTACAGGCGTGAGCCACCGTGCCCAGCCCTAAATTGAATTCTTAAATCCCTCTTGTTCATAAAGCAGTATATTTGGTTTACAGGACATTTTCACGTTCAGTATTTTGTTTGTGCGTCACAAGATCCTATGAACTTTAAATGACCTATAATTTTCATGACATATTTGTGGCAGTGCTGGGTCCTGGAAGGAAACTATTGAACACCTCCTACTGCCAGGAACTGTGCAAAGAGGGATCCATATACATTACTTACACCTTACAACTCAGGTTTAGTAGTAGTTCCTCATCTTATTGATGAGGAAATGAACCCACAGTAGTTAGTGACTTGATCAAGGTCACATTAGGCAGCTGCTGGAGCTGAGCTAAATGGTTTCCTGCCTACCCACAGTATTAATGCTATGCCTGTCACCCTATAGTGGGTACTTGGACTGGAAGCCCCTGCTTGCAAGTTGTCTCACATCTCTGCCTGGTTCCTTGTATATAAAATAAGGTTAGCAGGCCAGGCGCGGTGGCTCACGCCTGTAATCCCAGCACTGGGAGGCCGAGGCGGGCGGATCACAAGGTCAAGGAGATCGAGACCATCCTGGCTAACATGGCGAAACCCTGTCTCTATTAAAAATACAAAAAAATTAGCCGGGCGTGGTGGCGGGCGCCTGTAGTCCCAGCTACTCGGGAGGCTGAGGCAGGAGAATGGCGTGAACCCGGGAGGCGGAGCTTGCAGTGAGCCAAGAGATCGTGCCGCTGGACCCCAGCCTGGGTTACAGAGCGAGACTCCGTCTAAAAAAAATAAAAAATAAGTGTAGCAGAACCTGGCTCACTGGGCAGTGGTGACGAATAAATGAGAATGCTATTTTGAGTGCCCAGTGCAGTGCCTGGCCTATAATGGATGTTCAGTTACTGTTTCCCCACACTTGGAATTCGTAAGCTTTTCAGTATGCTCTTTTTCCCCATTGGTTTGATAATTATTATTGGGAACTGAATGGTGGTTCCCAAGAAGACATGTCCATATCCTAAGCCCTGGATGCCATCAGCATGACCTTATTTGTTTGGCTGGCATGCAGTGGCACGATCTCTGTTCACTGCAACGTCTGCCTCCCAGGTTCAAGCTATTCTACCTCAGCCTCCCAAGTAGTTGCATGCCACCATGCCTGGCTAATTTTTTGTATTTTTATTTTTGTTTATTTTTTTGAGACAGAGTTTTGATCTTATTGCCCAGGCTGGAGTGCAATGGCGCGATCTCGGCTCACTGCAACCTCCGCCTCCGGGGTTCAAGCGGTTCTCCTGCCTCAGCCTCCCAAGTAGCTGGGACTACAGGTGCACGCCACCACGCCTGGCTAATGTTTGTAGTTTTAATAGAGACGAGGTTTCGCGATGTTGGCCAGGCTAGTCTCGAACTCCTGACCTCAGGTGATCTGCCTGCCTCAGCCTCCCAAAGTGCTGGGATTATAGGCGTGAGCCACTGCGCCTGGCTTTTTGTATTTTCAGTAGAGACTGGGTTTCACCATGTTGGTCAGGTGGGTCTCAAACTCCTGACCTCAGATGATCACCCATCTCGGCCTCCCAAAGTGCTGGGATTACAGGCATGAGCCACAGTGCCCGGCCTTCTTTGTTTTGTTTTTGTTTTTGTTTTTGAGATGGAATCTCGCTCTGTCGCCCAGGCTGGAGTGCAGTGGTGCAATCTCAGCTCACTGCAACCTCCACCTTCTGGGTTCAAGAGATTCTCCTGCCTCAGCCTCCTGAGTAGCTGGGACTACAGGCACCATTTCTCCTGCCTCAGCCTCCTGAGTAGCTGGGACTACAGGCACCCACGACCACACCTTGCTAATTTTTATATTTTTTTAGTAGAGATGGTATTTTGCCATGTTGGCCAGGCTAGTCTCAAACTCCTGACCTCAGGTGATCTGCCTGCCTCAGCCTCCCATAGTGATGGTATTACAGGCGTGAGCCACTGTGCCCAGCCAGCATGACCTTATTTGGAAGAAGGTCTTAATGGTTGTAAGTTAAAGATCTCAAAATTAGATCATTGTGCTTGCTTTAGCAGCACATGTACCAAAATTGGAATGATGCAGTTTAGCATGGCCCCTGTGCAAGGATGACATGCAAATTTGTGAAGTGTTCCCATGTATTAAAAATACATTTTTAAAAATGAGATCATTCTGGATTATCCAGGTAGGCACTAAATCCAATGACAAGTGTCATGAGAGACACTGAGGAAAGAGACAGGAGGAGAAGGCCACGTGAAGACAGGCTGATGGAGTTAGCAGGCACAAGCTAAAGAATGTGCGGGGCCACTGGGAGCTGGAAGAGGCAGGGATGGCTTCTCCCCTGGAGCCTCTGGTTTTGGACTCGTGGCTTCTGGAACCGTAAGAGGAGAAATCTCTGTTGTTTAAGTCCCAAGTCTGTGATAGAGCAGCCCCAGGCAGGAATTGAATGCATTGCCTCCTGTGTATCAAGCCATTGGAGGATTCAGGGACAGAAAGCTGGGTCCTTTTCTACGAGCAAACCAGCCAGGCACTGATAGGCAAGGGGGAAGTCGGGACGTGGGAAAAGACCGAATTCCTGTCTTCAGACTCAAATTCTAATGGTTGAAGACAGGTGATAAGCCATATTTAGTGTGTTGGATGGTGGTATGTGTTGTAGAGAAAAATCGAAGGCAGGAGTTTCTATTGTGAATAGGATAGTCAGGGACCACACTGATTGGCGTCATTTGAGCAGAGACCTGAAGACATTAGGAGGGGGATGGTGCAAGTATGTGAGGCAAGAGCTCTCCAGGAAAAAAACTGCAAGTACAAAGGTCCTGAGGCCACAGCATGTTTTATATGTGGAGCAAATGGAGCAAGAAGGCCAGCTGGAGCAGAAGGTAGCAAGGAGGAAGAGGCCAGATCCTGGAATGAGGCTCCAGGTTGTATGTAAGGCCTTGTAGAAGACAGGAAGGACCGACTTTGAATCTCAGTGAGGTGGGAAGCCATCCTTCACCAGAGAGGTTGCAGAACTTGTCCAAGTTCCCAGAGCTAAAGGATGGAGCCAGGATTTTATTTATTTTTTGGGACAAGAGTTTCGCTCTATTACCCAGACTGGAGTGCAGTGGCACAAGCTTGGCGCACTGCAGTGCAACCTCTGCCTCCTGGGCTCAAGTGATCCTCCTGTCTCAGCCTCCAAATTAACTGGGACCACAGGCATACACCACCATGCCCAGCTAATTTTTTATAGTTTTGTTTGTATAGATGGTGTTTTGCCATGTTGCCCAGACTGCTCTTGAACTGAGCTTAAGCAGTCCACCTGCCTTGGCCTCCCAAAATGCTGGGATTATAGGCATGAGCCACTGTGCCCGGGCCCAAAGGAATTTTTAAAAAGCAGCCTCTAGTTATAAGTCCAAACATTTGTAGAGCTCTTGGTAGCTTTCCAAGCCGTCCTTCATCTGTTGCCTTGTTGGAACCGAATGAGTGGCCCAGTGCCAGCCAGGGCTCCTTACCCCCCACTCCCTGGCTACCACATGGTTCCTTGGTGCAGGGAGGTTGCTGTGCATTGATTCCTCCTAAAGAATGTCTCATGCTTTGTCCACTATGCCCTGACATTTGGTGATGGTGGCTTGCAGGAACTCCGACTCAACTGGGCAGCCCCCTGGGTTAATGTGTTTTGAATTCAATGCCAGTTTCATAGTTCATGTCATAGTTCTCTATCATTACAATTATGCCAGGTCCAAGTGTGTTGTCTGACACGGCTCTTGGCACTCTTTTTGCTGTGAGGCCATTGCAGGCACTCTGGGTCACACAGACCCAGTGTGTATGAGTGCCTGGCTTGGGGCCATCTCCCAGCAGCTTGGTCCAGGCTCAGCAGCCAGGCCAGGCAGCTAGCAACCCCTGTGAGGGGGCAGGCACAGCTGGACTCTGCCTGGCACCACTCGCGGAATGCACAGCATTCATCAGCTGTGGCCAGCTCAGGATTTTTATTCCATCAGAGCAGAATAACCAGGTTCATGATCCCCCCCATGCTAAGGAGAGCAAGGGCTTTGTTATCGGGGAATGGGGAGCTCTGGGTGGTACCAGTTTCCAGAAGTTTCTCCACCAGCAAGAGAAGGGGGCAGAGCAAAGTGTGTAGGCTTGGACTTCCTTGGACCCTGGTCTGAGTCCTGACTGCCACATACCAGCTGAGCCAAGTTGCGTAGTTTTCAGTGCCTCACCTTTCTCTAAAATGGGGTTAGCGCCTGCCTCAGAATTGTTCTGTGCACCAAATTATGTAAAGTTCTTAGCAAATCACCTGGCAGTAGTGTGTGATAAGGGGAGGAGGGCCTTACTAAAACACTTGGGTAGAGTGTGTGATAAGGGGAGGGAGGCCATTGTTACCTGGCCATGACCTTGGCCTCCAGAGCCGTAGAGCTATAGATGACTGAGGCAGGTCATGTGTGGAACAGCCCGGCTACTTCCTGGTGGAGCTGGGACTGGAAACCTCCAGACTCCCCCCTGGGGCTCTCTTAACTGCTCCAAGGACCAAAGAGAAGGCCTGTTTAGACAGTGTGGAGGCCCATTCACAGAGGCCAGGGCACTTGTCTAGAGCAGCCAGCCACGGAGGAGCTGGGCCCCACGCACAGTGTCGGCAGCAGGCATGAGGGGAGAATTGGAGAGATTGGGAGGTTGCAGAGGACAGGACTTGGATGTGGCAGCTGAGTGGATGTGGAGGCTGTAGGGAAGTGAGATGCCCAGTTCTCAGGCTGTCTGAGATGGGGGTTGGTGGCTGGAGCAGGTTTGGGACTGGAGGAGGTAAGTGCAAGTGGGTAAGGAACAGGAGTTTGAGGAGCCTGTGGGACGTCCAGGTGGAGGTGCCCAGGGCCTAACAATTTGGGCAGAGGCAATGAACAGCTGGGGCTGGAACCCTGGTCTCCAGGCCCCTAGGCTAGAGCTGGTTCCTCCTCAGACAAGTCCCTGGTGGGCTTGGCACACTTATTCTTTTTTTTTTTTTTTTTTTTTTGAGATGGAGTTTTGTCCCTGTTGCGCAGGCTGGAGTGCAATATCATGATCTCAGCTCACTGCAACGTCCACCTCCCAGGTTCAAGCGATTCTCCTGCCTCAGCCTCCTGAGTAGCTGGGATTACAGGTGCCTGCCACCATGCCTGGCTAATTTTTGTATTTTTAGTAGAGACGGGGTTTTGCCATGTTGGCCAGGCTGGTCTTGAACTCCTGATCTCAGGTGATCTGCCTGCCTTGGCCTCCTGAAGTGCTGGGATTACAGGTGTGAGCCACTGCGCCCAGCCTGGGCTTGGCACACTTCTTTCCACACAGTCCCCCTCTCTGCATCCTTCTCCTACACTGGATTGTGAGTCCAAGTTGGGGGCGTGGGGTGCTTTTCCTCCTATGATCGCCTTGACCATAGGTGGCTCCGGATGGCTTCATCTTCTAAATGAGGCAGTGGGACTAGCCGCTGTCTGGGGGCTGCAGCCCTGCATTCTAGAATTCTGGGTGACATCCTAAGGATCTAAATGGATCTAATAGGAGGAAAGAGGCAGCACTTGGGAGCAATGACCCTTTCGGTAAAGCGATTCTGTTGAATGAATGGTGAATGCAAGAGGAAGTAAGTGAATAAGGATTGAATGCAACAATATCAGTATAGGAATAAGGCTGGAGTGTGCCTTAAATCCTGTCTGGAATGTAGCGGCACAGATGAATTGATGAATGGATGTACTCTCCAGCCCAGCCTTTAGCCAGGGAAAGCCGTGGTGCCCACGCTGGCTCTTGCTAACAGTGGCCTCCCGTCCCCACCCCCAGCCTGCCCTGCAGACTGGATATAGGCTGGAGTGGCTGTGGCCCGGGTCAGGAACTGGCCTCCAATGTGGGGGAAGGGCATCAAGAAGAAGCTGAGAGGGAGGCAAGGGAAAGGTCCAAAGCCTGATCAGCAAGTTCCTGAGATTTTCCCGAAGGAGAGGGCTAGGGGAAGCAGCAACTTGTCTTGGTTCCTGTGGCTCCACATTCCTGTCAAGCCTGCAGCTGAAAGACCTGGCTTTTCTTTCTTTCTGGCCCCACCCTGCCCCTATCCAGCCACTTGATTAAGATCAAGTTATCTCCTTCACGCCCTGACTCCCACCCCTACTTTCTTACCTGGGGCCAGTGGATCCTGAGAGGGTGGACTTCACTCTCTAGTCATGGTTGGGAAGTGGAAGGGAGTCTAGGTTCAAACCCTGACGCTGCCCCTTGAAACTGGAAAATTCCAGGCACTTGGCTTAACTTCTCTGAGCCTCTGCTTTGTCATAGTCAAATGAGGAGAGTAATTCTCCCCTATCTAGGTCTTTCTAAGTGTCAACATAGGCCTGGCACAGTGGCTCATGCCTGTAATCCCAACACCTTGGGAGGCTGAGGTGGGAGGATTGCTTAGGCCTAGGAGTTTGAGACCAGCCTGGACAAGATAACGAGACCCTGTCTCTACAAAAATAAAAATAAAAAAATGAGGGCTGGGCGCAATGGCTCACACCTGTAATCCCAGCACTTTGGGAGGCCGAGGTGGGCAGATCACGAGGTCAGGAGATCAAGACCATCCTGGCTAACACAGTGAAACCCCGTCTCTACTAAAAATACAAAAAAATTAGCCAGGCATGGTGGCAGGCGCCTGTAGTCCCAGCTACTAGGGAGGCTGAGGCAGGAGAATGGCGTGAACCTGGGAGGCAGAGCTTACAGTGAGCCGAGATGGCGCCACTGCACTCCAGCCTGGGCAACAGAGCGAGACTCTGTCCTAAAAAAATAAATTAATTAAATTAAATTAAAAAATTAGCCAGGCGTGGTGGTGCATGCCTATAGTCCTTGCCACTTGGGAATCTAAGTCGGGAGGATTGCTTGAGCCGAGTTCAAAGTTACAGTGAGCTATGATCACACCACTGTACTCCAGCCTGAGCGACAGAGCAAGACCCTGTCCCTAAACAATACATAAATCCGAGCATAGTGAACTCGGGTATGATATAGGTGTTTGGGATGACTCATATCCATCCCGGGTGTATTGTATCACCTGGGGATAAGTTGTGCCCTGTCTAACCCCTGCTCTATTTAGAGGAAAGAGCAGCTCACTCCCAGAATTTCAACACAAGCCTCACTTTCTGTTTCTAACAGGAAGAGCTGCCTGGCTCACAACACCATATACATATGACCTCAGGTAGCTGGGAGACAAACAGGCCTCTTCCGGTGTCTGACAGCCCCTTCCTTGCCACTCAGGCCTCAGAGGAGAGGCTACCTTCCTGTGTCAGGAAGGCTCAGAAACTGTTTCCCACTCTGCCTGCCTTTGCCTGCAGAGCAGGCCAGATTGATACTGAGGGGGTAGTAGGGAGGGCTCTAGCTCCCCCACCCCAAATAATCTGGCACCCCCTAAACCTACAGCCAAATCATAAGCAGTGGGCTTAACCTACAGCCAAATCATAAACAATGGGCTTGCTATGCAGACCAAATTCTAAGTCAAGTAAAATAAAAGTCAGGACTCAGCCTAGCTGTTTGTTGTTGTCATTGTTGTTGTTGTTTTGCCCAGGCTGGAGTGAAGTGGTGCAATCTCGGCTCACTGCAACCTCTGTTCCCTAGATTCAAGCAATTCAGCCTCCCGAATAGCTAGCTAGGATTATAGGCTCTAGTCTCCTTCCCTTTCTTCCTGCCAAATTTCTGCCCCTGAGCTCCTCCTATAGAGTGACAGGAGCCCAACTATTAGGGCCTTGAATACTACATTAGCACCCAAACATCAATCCTGCTGGCCTGCTGGAAAAATCCCAGCACCAATAATAATTGAAGTTGAAGGGGAGATGGGAAGTTCCTAGACAGCAAAGGCTGGAGGCCTTGGGAGCTTTCTGTCCTGAAATGGCCTTTGGTATCGTGGATCAAGGCCTCAGTGCAGCCAGGGTCTGCAGAGGCTGTGGAGCTGGGGCTCCCAGCGGGGTTCTTGCTCACCAAACTCACAGGAAGATAACGAATGAATTTACAGTGAAAACCAGGCATGCAGTGGTAAACTGGACACAATGCCTGCCTCCATACACCAGAAGAAAGTTCTTTGTAAAGTCAGAAAGAGCTAGGCTGAGGCCAGAGCTAGGCTCACGCCTGTAATCCCAGCACTTTGGGAGGCTGAGGTGGGTGAATCACCGGAGGTCAGGAGTTCTAGGCCAGCCTGGCCGACATGGCGAAACCCCATCTCTACTAAAAATACAAAAATTAGCGACGTGGTGGTAGGCGCCTATAATCCCAGCTAGCTACTCAGGAGGCTGAATCGCTTGAATCCAGGGGGCGGAGGTTGCAGTGAGCAGAGATCACACCACTTCACTCCAGCCTGGGCAACAAAAAAAAAAAAAAAAAAAATAGCTAGGCTGAGTCCTGACTGCACTTTTTGTTGTTGTTGTTGTTGTTAGCTATGTTCATATTATATTCATTTTATTTTACTTTTATTTTTATTTTTCAAGTGTGACTGCAAGTTTTGACAGCTGTGTGGCTTTGAACATGCTTGTTGAACCCTCAGAGCCTTGTCCTCATCAGTAAATGGGGATAATGAGATAGCTCCTAGCTCACAGAATTGTGAGGATTCAATATGGTAATGTACCTTAACAACAAAAACAACACACAAACACACACATGATGTCTAGAGTGTGGTTAGTGCTCATAAAGTTACATAACTGTATCATTAATGATGTCACAATCCAATGAAGAGAGACAGGTATGCACAAATACATGCCATACAATGTGAGCAACAGTTCAAATGCCACCTCCTACATGTAGCCCTCTGGGCTGTCTCTCAGTCCCTGGCAGGAGGTGACAGGCTCCTTCTGGAAGCCCTATAGCATTCGGCCCCTCTCTCCATCACATCCCTACCCTTGTCTTTCTGTGACTGTTCGTTGTGATTGTTTATAGAGCTTCTTCCACACTGGTCTGCCAGTAGTAGACATGTGGAAATTCCTCTGTAAATTAGCAAGCACATCCCCTCTAGGTCCCCTCTAAGGGTGGGATTCTGTGAGAAGATCTGAAGTTGTGGCTTCTGTCTGGGCCCATCACAGAAGGCTTCAGGGAGGGGATGATGTCTGAGCTAGGTCATAAAGCCTGTGGACAATTTGGAACAGCAGCAGTAGCCATTTCAAGAGCAGTCAAAAGGGGAGAGAGCCTGGCAGGCTGAGACCTCAGCAAGCAGCCAGAAGCATAGAGAGTGTGGGGCAGCTGGATGGGGGGCCCTGCTCCCCTCCTAAGAGTCTCTACAACCTGGAGCAAACACCTCTGCTCTCTGGGCTCCAGTCTCTCCTCTCAGTGTACTGAGAGGGCTTTGCTAGATAAGGGTCCCTGCCAGTTTGGATATTTCAGTGGCTTCTTTGACCTGCCCCCTCGTGGAGCCCCAGACAAGTGTGAGGGTTTCCCAGCTCAGACAGCACCCGCCCAGTGAGAGCCAGCACATGTCCTCTCTGTTCTGGAGGGTTTAGTTGGAGGATAGTTCAGTTTTGGGGTAGGGAGGCAAGACCACTTGCCCAGTCCCAGGTGTATTTTCCAGAATGTGTATCTGCCAGGGCAGGATGGTCTATGAACAAAGGCTTGGAATAGCTGTCTGTCCTCAGGCATAGCTGGGATTCCAGAAGACCCAGGCCTCACCCAGGCGGGCAGGGGCGGGGCTCAGGGTACCGTCCTGGCATGTTCTAGGCATGCCTCTGGCCCAGCAAGGAGGGAACACGGTGAAGCAACTGCCACTCCAGCGACCAGCGCCTTCCACTGCCCCAGGCCCCAGCTCCAGAGGTCCCACAATGCTTCCATTGTCCACTGCTCTGCCCGGCTGCCCCCCAGGGAGCAGCTCAGAGCCAAGAACCTGGGCAGGGCCCTGATTCCTGGGGCACAGACTGGGTAGAAGAGAGAAGAGCAGAGTGGTCAGATTCACAGAAAACAGCCATGGAACTTGGAGAATTCCACCCTAAGAATCCTAGAATCGGCTGGGCAGGGTGGCTTATGCCTATAATCCCAATATTTTGGGAAGCCAAGGCATGTGGATCATGAGGTCAGGAGTTCAAGACCAGCCTGGCCAACATGGTGAAACCCCGTCTCTACTAAAAATACAAAAATTAGCCAGACGTAGTGACGAGTGCCTGTAATCCCAGCTACTTAGGAGGCTGAGGCAGGAGAATCACTTGAACCCAGGAGGTGGAGGTTGCAGTGAGCTGAGATATGCCATTGCACTCTAGCCTGGGTAACAGAGTGAGACTCTGTCTCAGAAAAACAAAAAACAAAAAACCCCACAATGTATTGTCATTAACAATAGTCACCATAGGCAGGGTGCCGTGGCTCACGCCTGTAATCCCAGCACTTTGGGAGGCCAAGGCAGGTGGATCACGATGTTAGGAGATCGAGATCATCCTGGCTAACATGGTGAAACCCCGCCTCTACTAAAAATACAAAAAAATTAGCCGGGCAAGGTGGTGTGCGCCTGTATTCCCAGCTGCTGGGGAGGTTGAGGCAGGAGAATGGCATGAACCCGGGAGGCAGAGCTTGCAGTGAGCCGAGTTCGCACCACTGCACTACAGCCTGGGCGACAAAGCAAGACTCCATCTCAAACAAACAAACAAACAAACAATAGTCACCACATTGTACAATAGATCCTTTGAACTTATTCCTCCTATCTAACTGAAATTTTGCACCCTTTGACCAACATCTCCCCAACCACTCCCCCTACCCACCAGCCCCTGGTAACTACCATTCTACTAGCTATTTCTTTCTTTTCTTTTCTTTTTTTTTTTTTGAGACAGGGTCTTAATCCATCACCCAGGCTTGAGTGCAGTGGTGCAATCACAGCTCACTGAAACCTCCACCTCCCTGGCTCAAGCGATCCTCCTGCCTCAGCCTCCCAAGTAGCTGGGATTACAGGTATGAGCCACCACACCAGGCCTCTACTCTCTATTTCTATGAGATCAACTTTTTTAGATTCCATGGGTGAAAAAAATAATTTTTTTCTTTTTTGAGACGGAGTCTTAAAATGTTTCTCAGCACACTGGATCCAAAGTAAGGATGATGAGATTCTATGTTGGGAAAACATTTAAACCTTGGCCTTTTTTTTTTTTCGAGATGGAGTTTCGCTCTTGTTGCCCAGGATGGAGTGCCATGGCGCATCTCAGCTCACTGTAACCTCCACCTCCCGGGTTCAAGCGATTCTCCTGCCTCAACCTCCTGAGTAGCTGGGATTACAGGCATTTGCAACCATGCCTGGCTAATTTTGCATTTTTAATAGAGATGGGATTTCACCATGTTGGCCAGGCTGGTCTCGAACTCCTGACCTCAGGTGATCTGCCCACCTCGGCCTCCCAAACTGCTGGGATTACAAGGTGTAAGCCACCGTGCCGGCCTGTTTTTATTTTTTTTGTTGTTGTTTTGTTTTGTTTTTGAGACGGAGTTTCACTCTATCACCAAGGCTGGAGTGCAGTGGCACCATCTTGACTCACTGCAACGTCTCCCTTCTGAGTTCGAGCAATTCTCCTGCCTCAGCCTCCAGAGTAGCTGGGCTTACAGGCGCCCGCCACCACCCCTGGCTAATTTTTTTTTTATTTTATTTTTTGAGATGGAGTCTTGCTCTGTCGCCCAGGCTGGAGTGCAGTGGCACGATCTTGGCGCACTGCAAGCTCTGCCTCCCGGGTTCACGCCATTCTCCTGCCTCAGCCTTCTGAGTAGCTGGGACTACAGGCGCCCGCCACCATGCTCGGCCAATTTTTGTATTTGTTTTAGTAGAGACGGGGTTTAACCATGTTAGCCAGGATGGTCTCAATCTCCTGACCTCATGATCTGCCCACCTCGGCCTCCCAAAGTGCTGGGATTACAGGCATGAGCCACCACGTCTGGCCTAATTTTTGTATTTTTAGCAGAGATGGGGTTTCACCATGTTGGCCAGGCTGGTCTTGAACTCCTGACCTCAAATGATCTGCCCGCCTCAGCCTCCCAAAGTGCTGGGATTACAGGCGTGAGCCACTGCACCCGGCCAAGTTCTTGTTTTTAATCTTGCTTTTGTACCTCCCTCCTGCAAAGCCATGCTACAAAGCCTGTTGGCTGGAAGAATGGTGTGTGGAGAAACACGACCGTCTGCCTCAAACTGTCAAGGGCTTCCTTTGGGTTCCCGTGGTTCCTCTGGTTTCCTTTTCCCCGCCTTTATTAGGCTACAGGCAGAATTGTTTATGGAACTGTTTCCTTCCCTGGCCTAGCCAGTCCTTCCCTGCCAGGATCCTGCCCCATGGCTAGACACCTGCAGCTGTTACCTGGGAAGAAATCAGAAAGGATTCAGCCAGATGCAGGGGCTTGTGCATATAACTTCAGCATTTTGCGAGGCCAAAGCAGGTGGATTGCTTGAGTCCAGGAGTTCAAGATCAGCCTGGGCAACATAGTGAGACTCCCGTCTCTACAAAAAATAAACAAAATTATCTGGGTGTGGTGGTGCATGCCTGTTAGTGCCAACTGCTCGGGAAGCTGAGGTGGGAGGATCGCTTGACTCCAGGAGGTGGAGGCTGCAGTGAGCCGTGATTGTGCCAGTGCACCCAGCCTGGGAGACAAAGTGAAACCCTGTCTCAAAAAAAGAGAGAAAGGATTCAAACTCTACCTATACTGACAGCTCTCACCTGTTTGCATTCAGCTTGCTTCCCTGGGAGTTAGGTGTTCTTCAGCCTAAATGATGTTACCATCTCAAAGAGGTGTTCCCTGGCTATGCTATCTGTCCCCATCATTCTCTGTCACAGCACCAGTCACCACCTGAGGTTCTCCTTGTTTTTGTTTTGTTTTGTTTTGAGACAGGGTCTCACTCTGTTGCCCAGACTGGAGGACAATGGCACGATCTTGGCTCACTGCAACCTCCGCCTCCCCAGGCTCAAGTGATTCTCCTGTCTCAGCCTCCCGAGTAGCTGGAATTACAGGCACACACCACACCCAGCTAATTTTTGTATTTTTAGTAGAGATGGGGTTTCACCATGTTGACCAGGCTGGTTTCAAACTACTGACCTCAAATGATCCACCCGCCTCAGCCTCCCAAAGTGCTGGGATTACAGGCGTGAGCCACTGCGCCCAGCCTGTTTTTTGTTTTTTGTGTTTTTTGAGACAGAGTCTCACTTTGTCGCCCAGACTGGAGGGCAGTGGCGCAGTGTCAGTTCACTGCAACCTCTCCTCCCTGGTGCAAGCAATTCTCCTGCCTCAGCCTCCTGAGTAGCTGGGATTACAGGTGTGTGCCACCACACCTGGCTAATTTTTGTATTTTTAGTAAAGACGGATTTTCACCATGTGGGCCAGGCTGGTCTTGAATTCCTGACCTCAAGTGATCCACCTGCTTCAGCCTCCCGAAGTGCTGGGATTACAGGGTGTGCCACTGTGCCCGGCCTCCTTGTTGTTTACTTGTTTACAGCTCCTGGCCCCCAACAGGTGCTCAGTAAATATTGTTGAATCCATGCTTGACTATAAATGTGTGAACAAGGTGTGGAAGGCTGTTTCACACCGACAACTGCAGCTACTTCTTAGGAGGGGACTAGAGTTGAAGGAGACAGTCAAACTGGAACTTTAGATTTATTTTTAAATTTTTGATAAGAATGATGTATTCAGGCTGGGCATGGTGGCTCATGCCTGTAATCCCAGCACTTTGGGAGGCTGAGGTGGGCACATCACTTAAACTCAGGAGTTTGAGATCAGCCTGGCCAACATGGCGAAACTGTGTCTCTACTAAAAATACAAAAATTAGCTGAGCTTGGTGGCCCATGCCTATAATCCCAGCTACTAGGGAGGCTGAGGCAGGAGAATCACTTGAACCTGGGAGATGAAAGTTGCAGTGAACCGAGATCGTGCCACTGCACTCCAGCCTGGGCGAGAGAGACTCGTCTCAAAAAAAGACAGGGTCTCCCTATATTGCCCAGGCTGGTTTAGTCTTGAACTCCTGGCCTTGGCTCCCAAAGTGTTGGGATTACAGGCATGAGCCACCGTGCCTGGCCCCATTTCTTAATTGATAGTTAAAAATAAAACAAAACAGCACTGAATTAAGGGCCCAAGTCTCTCAATTCTAATCCCGAAATTATAGCATGATTTTGGGCAAGTGCCCTACTCACCTATCTCTGTGGCTTCTGATCTCACCTGTAAACACACAGACCCACCTTCCACCTGAACCCTGGATTTACAGTCTGCACAGCATTTTCTCATCCATTATCTCACCTTGTTACCCACAACCCTGGGATTCAGGCAAAGCAAGTATTATCATCCTCATTTTATAGGGTAAGAAATTGGGGTTCATGAGGGTGAGTTGTCTGGCCTGCGGTCACACACTGTGGTCGTACAGGTCCTTACTTCGAAACATTGTGAGCTGACTCAGATAATGAGTTTATAAAGCCCACAAATGGCTAATGGGGGTGACCAGGCTGTGCTGTGTAAGCTATTAGTATGGCAACAGGATCAGATATGGAGCTGTCTTCAGGGACCTAAAGGGAGCCCTTTAGGCTAGTGAGGACAGGGCTATAATCCCTCCTGGTTTCTTTTGTTTGTTTTTGGTTTTTTGTTTTTTAAATGGAATCTCACTCTGTTGCCCAGGCTGGAGTGCAGTGGTGCGATCTCAGCTCACTGCGTCCTCCACCTCCCGGGTTCAAGCCATTCTCCTGCTGGGATTACAGGTGTGTGCCACCACGCCCAGCTAATTTTTTGTATTTTTAGTAGAGATGAGGTTTCACCGTGTTAGCCAGGCTGGTCTCGATCTCCTGACCTCGTGATCTGCCTGCCTTGGCCTCCCAAAGTGCTGGGATTACAGGCGTGAGCCAAAAAAACCCACCATCTTTGAGATGGAGTCTCGCTGTGTCCCCCAGGTTGGAGTACAGTGGCGTGATCTTGGCTCACTGCAACCTCCGCCTCCCAGGTTCAAGCGATTGTCCTGCCTCAGCCTCTCGAGTAGCTGGGACTATAGGCACGTGCCACCACGCCTGGCTAATTTTTTTATTTTTAGTAGACACGGGCTTTCACCATCTTAGCCAGGCTGGTCTTGAACTCCTGACCTCATGATCCGCCCACCTTGGCCTCCCAAAGTGCTGGGATTACAGTGAGCCACCGCGCCTGGCCCAATTTTTTGTATTTTTAGTACAGACGGGGTTTCACTATGTTGGCCAGGCTGTTCTCAAGCTCTTGACCTCAGGTGATCCACCTGCCTCGGCCTCCCAAAATGCTGGGATTACAGGTATGAGCCATGGTGCCCAACCCCGCCCCCCTTAGGTTTTAATGAGAGTCCTGGGTGGTCTTTGAAGGCCTAGGTGGATGCTGGTGTCAGGATCCTGAACCCAAGTCCCTGATTTCATAAAAAGCATCCGGAATCCTGCTTTCCTGCCACTGTTATCCCACAGGGGACAGGGCAGGAGTTGGCAGCTCAGGGCTGGTGAGAAGTCCAGAGGGCTAGCCAGGCACTCTGGCCATGCTCTTCCTAGGTGGCCTGAGAGTCCATATACTGAGCCAAGATGGCGGCCTTCCAGTTGCAGGAGTGTTAGGCCAGCCCAGATTGGCAAGCTGGGTTCTCCAGGCCCTGGGCCAGTATTCTGGACTGGGACTCAGTGGACTTTGAAGAGGTAGAATTCCCTAAGTCGGCCTCTCTCCTTGATAATTTACCCAGAATGGCCCAGATGACAATCTGGGTACAAAATATTTCAGTCCATTTCATCATGTTTACCAAGTACCAGGAGTCAATAGAATTTATGAGTGATAACTAAAGGGTAAGGCACTTTACATCTTAATCCTCTCAGCCACCTTGTAAAGCAGGTATTATCTCCATTTTTAAGTCGTGGAAACTGAGGTCCAGGGAGGCACAAGATCACATGACTAAGGGAGTGGGGAAAGCCAGGATTGGAGATTGGGTTAATAGGGCTCCAAAATGCCTGATCTTTCCACTCCCCTGAGTGCTCAGGGGTGATGAAGATGACTAAGACCCTGTTCCTTCCCTTGGGAGGGAGCGAAATACCCACTCCAGCTAACTATTGCATGGGTCAGGGTGACATCACCACCTCTGCAGCAGATGGAGGCTGATTCATCTGTGGGAGAGTCAGGAGGGGCCTCTGCGGAAGGGTCGGCTGGCTGGAAGGGTTGGCTGGCTGGAAGGGTCGGTTGGCTGGCGGGGGTTTTGAAGACGGCAAAGATAGAGAATGAGCCTTGGGGAGGTTCCAGGGCCAGATACAAACTGCCTGTATGCCTCCCAGGCAGGGGCCTCCTTGGCCTAGGTCCTTCCCATAGGAACTCAAACCACCACCACACTAACCATGGCTGAGGGGACCCGGCAGGCCGCAGTGGGGAGGGACGAGATCCCTGAGCTTACACAGGGGCTGAGGGGAGCTCAGTGAATCACCTAGGGGACACCTGGACCAAAGGTGGCGGAGGGGCGCATGGGTCTCCCTGCCAAGCTATGGGGGAGGGGATGGTGGACATGACAACTTCCAGCTCAGCGGTGCTTTAGGGTGGGGAGCCGGGATGAGGGAAGCTGGTGGCTATCCGGGGGGGGGTGCTCTGAGGTCTGCAGGGGAACTGCCTCCCCAAAGTTTCAAGCTAGGGGTGGAAGGGGGGATTTGCGGTCATTAGGAGCGGGAAGGAGGCCGGATGGGAGCACGAGGTGTCCCGCCTCCAAAGGGTGGAGGGCTCCCGGTGGGTGGCGCGGCGGCGGCCGCGGCGGTGAAGTCATCGTGGGGAGTGGTCCGCTTGCGGCGGGTGCGGGGGCTTCGCGGGCACCCAGTGGAGCAGCGGGAGCCCGGCGCCGTCGAGGGGCGGGCGATGGGGCGCCGGCCCGTCTTGGTAGGGGTGGGCTCCGCACTGGAGGCGGAGCTGCTGCTGGGTGGGGCGCGCCTCCGGCGCGGACGGAGGCGGCGGGACGCCCGCTCCCACGACCGGCCCACAATGAGGCGAGCGGGCAGCGCGGAGTAGGCGGCGGCCGGCCGGGCCGGGCCACGCGGCGGCGCTGCTCGGGCAGGTTAGGGCAGGGCCGCGGGGCGCCCGAGCGAGGACACCGCGGCCCCGCCTCCGCCCCTCCCCTCGCCTGCCGGTCGGCGCCCGAGCTCGGAGCCGCAGCCGCAGCCGGAAACCGGGCCCGCGCGGCGGCCGCCGTCCCGGCCAAGCCGGGGCCCCGAAGCCAGAGCCGGAGCCGGGCGGGCCGCGGGGTCATGGCTGGGCCGCGGGGCGCGCTGCTGGCCTGGTGCCGCCGCCAGTGCGAGGGCTACCGCGGCGTGGAGATCCGCGACCTGAGCAGCTCCTTCCGGGACGGCCTGGCCTTCTGCGCCATCCTGCACCGGCACCGGCCCGACCTGCTGTGAGTGCGGGGCCCCGGGCGAGCGGGCGGCGCGGGGCGGGCTGGGGCCGCGACCGCCGCCCCCCCTCAGTAACACGAAGCCCGGGCGGTGACAGGCGCCGCCCCCGGACACGGAGACGCCGACCCCCCCGACGGCCCCGGACGCCGGGCGGGTCCCTGAGACCCCGGCCCAGGGCGCCCCTCCCCCGCCCGGCCGCCCTGACCCCGCCCGTGGGATCCCGAACTCTCCCCCGAGGCTGGTCCCTCCGCGGGGACACTGGCCCCGCCCACAAAGCGCTGATTTCCGCCGAGGATCGCTGAACCCCTAAGCCCTTGACCTCTTTGAAGGGGTGTTGAGCCCTCTTTGGGGGCCCTGGGCCTCTCCTACCCTAAACTCTTCTCCACGGGCTCGCCGGGCCTCCCCTCTCCCCCGAGGCTTCCCACTCGGGGTGGCCCCTTGCTCCGGGTGTGCAGGTGAACCCCCACTTCTCTGACCCCCAAATAGGAGCTTGTCTCCGGACAGTAGCACAGTTCCCGGCACAGAGGAGACCTCGGCTAACAGGTGTTGGATGAATGGATGTACAGACCCTGTGCTTTCCCCACGCCCCCCAACTTAGGACGCAGCCCTGCCTCCCGGGTGTGTGCTCGATGGCCCTGCAGCCCTCCTCAGTGGGGCACGCAGGTGGGGCGCGCAAGAGGAGTCACAGGCCGGCAATGTTGGGAAGACTCCTAGGATCCGATTGATAGACACCAACCGGGTGCTGCAGGTTGTGAAATGGCCCCTTCCTGCCCAGAGCTGCCCAATGAGGTTCTCATGGGAAAATGCATTCAGACTCCCCGGAACAGTTGACTTGGAGCCTCTGTCTTTGCTCTCTCTGCCTTGAGCCCTGGAACCTCTCCTCCTTTCGTCCCTTCATTCCTAAAACACTGGGTGAGTTTATCTGGTGCCATTCCTTGCACTTCAGGTCTCACCTGTGAATCAGGGAGGAGAGTTCTGGTCCCTACCCCTTTCGCATGCAGCCCTCTTGCCAGGGCTCCCCCAGCCTGGCAGATGGAGGCTTTCTGTGCCTGTTCCACCTCCAGATTTGCACTGTCCGAGGGCAGCATGTGGGAAGGCTTCTAAGGGATTGCCTCAGGATTCCATGATGCAGGTGCACCTGGTTTACCTGTATGTACCCTGCAGTACCGTGTCTGTGGGTGGTGGCTTGGGCCCTGGAGGAGAGGGTTTTGGGGCTGTGGATACAGAAGGGAACAAGATGAGGTGGTCATGTAGGTGGGCCCCTGCCCGCTGTGGGGCATGTGACACCCATACTAATGGAAGCACAAGGTTGATGCCTGGTTGCCCAGGAGCAGGGGGTAGAAGGATGGAGGAAAAGGGCACCAGGGTTAGACCTGGGCATTGGAAGGGAGGGCCCAAGGGGTCTTCTGTTTTGTTTGAGGGGCAGGAGTGAGGCAGGAAGCAGGGACAAACCCAGTGTGGGAGGGGACTTGGGTGTGAAGTGAAGCCATTTGGTGGGCCTGAGCCTGGTGGCATCAAAGTAAATAAAGGCCGCCTGGTTTGTGTTTAGCTTCTCCATGTCTTAGGCGCATGGCCTTGGGTCCTCATGGGCTCTCTCCAGGCATCAGTGTCCTCATCTGTGAGGTGGGATTGATAATGTGACACAGCTCACAGAAATGTGAGGATTGCATGAGATAACAAGCATTCATTTAACATTAGTTACTGTGAGTAACTAATGTTACTTTTTTTTTTTTTAATGTTTTTTATTTTTTTGAGATGGGGTCTCACTCTGTCACCCAGGCTGGAGTGCAGTGGCACAGTCATGGCTCACTGCAGCCCCCACCTCCCGGGCTCAAGCAATCCTCCCACCTCAACCTCCCTAGTAGCTGGGACCACAGGCACACGCCACCACGCCTGTCTAATTTGTTTGTATTTGTAGAGATGGGTTTTCACCATGTTGCCCAGGCTGGTCTTGAACTCTTGAGCTCAAGTAATCTGCCTACCTCAGCCTCCCAAAATGCTGGGATTACAGGCATGAGCCACCATGCCTGGCCCAATAACAATGTTTGATTTCTTCATTTATTCAACCAGTATTTGTAGAGTCATATTGCTCTGTGCTGGACACTGTACCTGGTAATGGAAGTACCAATCGACAAAACAGGCAACCCTACACGCTCTCCCACACCTGTAGGGGAAACGTGTATAAACGATGATGGCAATTCCATGTACCCTATCAGAGGGCTGGGGGTGGGAGACCTCCTAGGGAGAATATAGTCTTCAAGGAGATGGCAGGAGCCAGGTGAGGGCTGCTGGGTGGACGTTCTGGCATGGGACCCCATCTGAGCAAAGGCAAGGGGCGGGAGGTGTGTGCAAAGCTGGAGGCTGTGTAGCTGAGTGGGGAGCACAAGGTAGCGAGTTGGGAGATGCAGTTGGGACAGATGGCTGACAGCTGCTTTTGCTGGCTAAGGAGCATGGATAGGGGCCTCAGGGAACCATGCAGGGTTTTTTTTGTTTTTGTTTTTGTTTTTTTGAGATGGAGGCCTGTCACCCAGGCTGGAGTGCAGTGGCGTGATCTCGGCTCACCACAACCTCTGCCTCCCGGATTCAAGCGATTCTCCTGCCTCAGCCTCCCAAGTAGCTGGGATTACAGGCACGCACCACCATGCCTGGCTAATTTTTGTAGTTTTTAGTAGAGATGGGGTTTCACCATGTTGGCCAGGCTGGTCTCGAACTCCTGACCTCAGGTGATCCGCCTGCCTCGGCCTCCCAAAGTGCTGGGATTACAGGCGTGAGCCACCATGCCTGGCCGAGCCACGTAGGTTTTTTTTTTTGAGACGGAGTCTCGCTCTGTCAGCCAAGCTGGAGTGCAGTGGCATGATCTCTGCTCACTGCAAGCTCCACCTCTTGGGTTCACGCCATTCTCCTGCCTTAGCCTCCCGAGTAGCTGGGACTACAGGTGCCCGCCACCATGCCTGGCTAATTTGTTGTATTTTTAGCAGAGACGGGGTTTCACTGTGTTAGTCAGGATGGTCTCAATCTCCTGACCTCGTGATCCACCTGCCTTGGCCTCCCAAAGTGCTGGGATTATAGGTGTGAGCCACCGCGCCTGGCCAACCACGTAGGTTTTAAGCAAGGGAGGGATGTGGCTGGAAAAAATGTGCAGGGGAGGGTGGCTCCGCTTCTGAGATCCAGAATCATGTCCAGGCATTCATTTGCAATATTGCCAGCGCATTGCACAGGAGAGAAGCTGAGGCCCAGGTCCCACATAATGTGTAGGGAAGTCCTCAGTGATGGGTTGGGAGGATCTCCGTGAGAATAGGAGTGGCCTAGAGTGAGGGCAAGAATCATCTCCTAAATTGGTTCAGGCTTCTGGGGCTGTGGGCCCTGCCTGGGTGAACCCAGTGTTGGCCCAGGGCTCTGCTGGGACGAGGGTTGTGGGGGCTGGGCCATCCCTCCGCACCACCCGAAATCCAGACATGCTTAAGCTCCTTTGAGGGCGTGGACCATGTGGGTTTCATTTCTGTGTCCTTCATCTTCCCCAGAGCCAAGTAGAACTCCGCAGGCCTCTGAAGACTCTCAGAAAATATATGTGTTACCAAAACACAGATGTTAATTAGGGACAGAGATGGGGGTGGAAGAAAACCTGCAGGATCCTGAAGGTTTTTTACAGTTTTCACACTGTTTTCAACATTGATTCATTCAACAAACATTTACGGAGCATCTTCGAAATTTGGGGAACTGTGTAGGGAGTTGGGGGCACAGAGTAGCTAGAATGTGACCCCAGCCTTCTTGGAACACTTCTGGGGTGACCGAAATAAACGGCTGAGACAAGTTGCTTTTGTCTCATTTGGTCTTGGAAAAAGCCTCTGTTGGGGGCTGGGTACCATGGTGTTTTCCTCGCCCTGTTGCAGTGTCCTGAACCGGACCGGGAGACAGAGGTTTCGAGAGGTGAAACACCTTGCTAAGGTCGCACTCTGAGGCAGTGGCAGAAAAGGGGAGCTAGGGAGGCAGCCCAGGGGAGAAGGAAGTGGCCTGGTCAGAGTGGCAAAAAGGGAGCTGGTGCCCAGACATAGTCACCTTGCCTCTCCCCGTCCACCCAGCCCTGGGGCACCAGACCCCTTCCAAGGTCCTCAAGCAACTCTTTCCTGCCCAGGGTTCACAGTCCCTGGCCCCTGCCTGGAAAAGTGTTGGGGGCAGGAGGAGGGGGCTGTGCTTACCTGGCTCCCTCATATCTGCGAGGCCTGCCCTTTACCAAGCTGGGACTCCACCAGCTTGGGAGGTGGTATTAGTGCTTTTCCTGATTTGCACATGGGACAATGAATGCTGGAAGGACTGCTGATCCCCCCAACCCCATGGTCACATGGGAATTCAGCCCTCAGAGGCGGCGTGGCCTGCTCTTGCCTCTGCCCACCCATCTCCGGCAGTCAGGGCTGCAGTTTTCAGCCATAGAAGGGCAAGGCTGCATGCGGATGCACCCAGGAGGCTGCCCGGCGGGAAGACTGAGCTGTCTCTGCTGGTTTCAGCGGCCTGGAGTGGGGAGGGAGGAGGGGGATAAATAAAGCCTGCAGGCCAGCCAGCTGTCCCGTGCTGGGGCCCCCAGACAGGCCCTGCCACCTCTCACCTTTCCTAGTTTAGAAAATCCCTCACTGCTTCCCCAATGGAGGCTGCCCCAGGAGTGGCCCAGTGGGGCCAACCAGCTGTTCTATGCCAGCAGCTCCGGAGTATGTACATTTCCACTCTGGTTCAAACTTGTTCTTCTATTCACGGCCCCATTAAGAAAAACATTCATCTGCAGGCTGGACCGGGTTGGGATGCAGCAAGTTGGTGTGGCTACTCCGAGTGTGTGACACACCTGCAGGGGCCTGTGAGCAGTGGGAGGGCCAGACATGTGGATTCCCAGGGCTGGTGGCTTCCTTTCTCCAGGCCTCAGTGTCCTCATCTATAAAATGAGATCAATTCTTGCCAAACAGAGTTGCTGTGAAAAGAAAGTAAATGAGACAGAGGAGCCCAGCACTGCGCCCTGGGGGAGGTCACATGCGGGTCTTAGTTATGTCTTTGCCACGGACTCCAGGGGTGGCTTCCTGCAGAGAGGCAAAGGATCTTAAGCTTGAAAGCCTGGGCTTGAGCCTCACCCCTTCCCAGTGATTTCCTAGCCTCTGCTTGGATGCCTCCAGGGCCCGTGATCTCATGCCCTGCCCTGCCCTGGCAGCTCCAGCTCTAGCAGCGAATGTTTGCTGCCTCAGTTTCCCCCTTAGTAATCCACAGACTCCCCCCCAGCAACCCTGCTGAGGTTGATGCTGGCTGGGACAAGGTCTTCTCTGTTCAGCTCCTTTCTGACTCTGACCCCGCCCCTATTTCCCAGTCACCTCCCCTCTTGACCAACCCTCCTCCCTTTGCCTCTTGCAGAGATTTTGATTCGCTTTCCAAGGACAATGTCTTCGAGAATAACCGTTTGGTAAGTTCCCGGACAGGTGGAAGCCCAAGAGGCTCTGTGTATGTGTGTGTGTGTGTGTGTGTGTTTGGTGGGGAGGGCAGGGGTCTTGCACGGTGGCTGCCCTTGTACACCGGCCCTGGCTGCACCTTTCCCCACCCTCTGCTTCCCACCAGCCTCCTCATGCATGGAGCACCAGGCTTCCCCTTTCTCCAGGCCATCCTGTGGTGCTTGGGTGGGATTAATACTGAGGGGAGCCCACAGTCACCCCATCCCACTGAAGGGAGCTGGGCCTAGGCTGAGGGGTCGCCCCCTAACGCCTCCTCCTCTTCCTGCTTCGGCTGCTCCCGCCCTTGTACCTGTCACCACCCCAGGCCTTTGAAGTGGCTGAGAAGGAGCTGGGGATCCCCGCTCTCCTGGACCCCAATGACATGGTCTCCATGAGCGTCCCTGACTGCCTCAGCATCATGACCTATGTGTCCCAGTATTACAACCACTTCTGCAGTCCTGGCCAAGGTGAGAGGGGGACTCAGCGTTTCACGGAGGCTGGCCCAGGGGGTGGCCCTGGGGATGTCTGATGCTTGCTACTGGTTTTCTGAGTTGTAAACAGGCTGCTGAGGAGTGTGTCATTCATTTACTTATTCATTAATTCACTCATTGAAATATTTCTTTTTTTTTTTGAGACAGAGTTTCGCTCTTTTTTTTTTTGAGATGGAGTCTTGCCCTGTCACCCAGGCTGGATTGCGATGGCACGATCTCGGCTCACTGCAACCTCCGCCTCCTGGGTTTAACCTCCTGCCTCAGACTCCCAAGTAGCTGGGATTACAGGCACCCGGCACCACGCCCGGCTAATTTTTTGTGTCTTTAGTAGAGACAGGGTTTCACTATGTTGGCCAGGCTGGTCTCAAACTCTTGACCTCGTGATCTGCCCGCCTTGGCCTCCCCAAGTGCTGGGATTACAGGCGTGAGCCACTGTGCCCAGTCCCACTTTTTTTTTTTTTTTGAGACGGAGTTTCACTCTTGTTGCACAGGCTAGAGTGCAATGGCACGATCTTGTCTCACTGCAACCTCCGCTTCCTGAGTTTAAGCAATTCTCCTGTCTCAGCCTCCTGAGTAGCTGGGATTACAGGCACCCACCACTACACCTGGCTAATTTTTGGTATTTTTAGTAGAGATGAGGTTTCACCATGTTGGCCAGGCTGGTCTTGAACTCCTGACCTCAGGTGATCTGCCCGCCTCAGCCTCCAAAAGTGCTGGGACTACAGACGTGAGCCACTGGTGCCCGGCCTGACATATATCTTGAGTAAAAGAGCCTGTGCTGGGCTCTGGGGATGCAGCTGTGAATGTAATCACTGCTGAAGTCCCGTGGGGGAGATAGACACCAAACACACCCACCAGAAAATGAACACAATCATATCAGAGGAGACACAGCAGGTTGCGTTCATCCGCTGCATGGAGTCCACCTCCCCGGCACCCACCCTCACTTCCTGTTTGCAGACACTTCCTTGGGTTTTTCCTCCAGCAGGGAAGTGGCTCTGTCTGGTGAGGCTGCTGTGCTGTCTTCCACAGAAGTGACTGAGAGCTGAGAGGCTGGGGAACTGGGGAACCAGAGTTGCAGGGGCTACAAAGTGACTCGGTTCTGAGTGAGGTCACTGGGCATTCCCATGCAAGGACCTCCCTTGCAGGTAGCTGGGCCTCCCCTTCTGCAGAGATGAGATAGGCCTAGAGAGGGGAAGCAAGGAGCTCAAGATCACACAGCAGACAAACTGAACAGCTGGGTTGAGAATCCAGGTGTCCTGAATCCAACGCTGGATTCCTGCTGTCCCTGGGTCTGAGTAGAGCCCATTTCAGCCCCTCCCTCCTGCCTCTGCTGTCGGTCTAGACAGTTCTGGCCCAACTCTTTTTTTTTTTTTTTTGATACAGAGTTTTGCTCTTGTTGCCTAGGCTGGAGTGCGATGGCGCGATCTCGGCTTACTGCAACCTCTGCCCTCGGGGTTCAAGTGATTCTCCTGCTTCAGCCTCCTGAGTAGCTGGGATTACAGGCATGCACCAACATGTCCGGCTAATTTTTGTATTTTTAGTAGAGATGGGGTTTCGCCACTTTGGCCAGGCTGGTCTCAAACTCCTGACCTCAGGCGATCCACCTGCCTCGGCCTCCCAAAGTGGTAGGATTACAGGCATGAGCCACTGCGCCCGGCCCTGGCCCAACTCTTTAAAGTGTTTTATGAAGTCAGAGGTTTCTTTTCTTTTCTTTCTTTTTTTTTTTTGAAATGGAGTTTCACTCTTCTTGCCCAGGCTGGAGTGCAATGGCGCGGTCTCAGCTCACTGCAACCTCTACCTCCCGGGTTCAAGCGATTCTCCTGTTTTAGCCTCCCAAGTAGCTGGGATTACAGGCACCCGCCACCACACCCGGCTAATTTTTGTAGTTTTAGTAGAGACGGGGTTTCACCATGTTGGCCAGGCTGGTCTCGAATTCCTGACCTCAGGTGATCCACCCACCTCAGCCTCCCAAAGTGCTGGGATTACAGGCATGAGCCACTGCACCCAGCCATCTTTTCTTTCATTATATATATATATGTATATATATACATGCATATACATATATATGTACATATATTATGTGTATATATGCGTGCGCGCACACACACACACACGCACATATATGTGTATTTTTTTTGAGACAGGGTTTTACTCTGTTGTGTTGCCTAGGCTGGAGTGCAGTGGCATGATCACAGCTCAATGCGTCCTCAACCTTCCTGGGCTGCGGTGATCCTCCTATCTCAGCCTACTGAGAAGCTGGGACTACTGGTGCATGCAACCACACCCAGCTAACTTTTATATTTTTTGTAGAGGTGGAGTATCACCATGTTACCCAGGTTGGTCTTGAACTCCTAAGCTCAAGGGATCTACCCTTCTCGGCCTCCCAAAGTGCTGGGATTACAGGCATGAGCCACTATGCCCAGCCATAAATAAATAACTTTAGGAAAAAAAGAAAAAATAGCCGGGTGAAGTGGCTCATGCCTGTAATCCCAGCACTTTGGGAGGCCGAGGCAGGTGGATTGCTGTTGAGACCAGACTGGGCAACATAGCAAGAACCTGTCTCTACCAAAATAAAAATAAAAAAATTAACCAGGCATAGTGGTGGCACACCTGTAGTCCTAGCTACATGGGAGGTTGAGATGGGAGGTTTGCTTGAGGCCAGGAGTTTGAGGCTGCGGTGAGCTATGATCACGCCAGTGCACTGCAGCCTGGGCAACAGAGCGAGACCCCATCCCTAAACAGAAAAAATAAACAAGAAAATTTAGAACATGGCAAAAGCAGAAAAATTAAAATAATGTCTTATACCCCTTCCCCCTGATGTAACACTAGGGATTAAAATAATTGAACAAATAACATTATGTATATTTTAATAGAAAACAAAATGAAAGTATTTCCAGACCCCAGAGGCTCTGGTGAGAGGCAGTCTAAGGTTGGGGTTAAGAGCATGGACTCAAAATTTTCACTCTGCCATTTCCTCTTTGGGTGACCATGGGTCAGTTATTTAACCACTCTGCCTCAGTTTCCCTTTTGCAGTGAGGATAGGAATAACACCCATCTCACAGGGTTGACTTGAGGAGTAAATGAGGAAATGTATAAACCAGTGTTTGGCACCTATTTAGATTAGTATTCTTTTTTTTTTTTTTTTTTGAGACAGAGTCTCGCTGTGTCATCCAGGCTGGAGCTCAGTGGCACAACCTTGGCAGACTGCAGCCTCTGCCTCCCATGTTCAAGCGATTCTCATGCCTCAGTCTCCCAAGTAGCTGGGATTACAGGTGCGCACCACCACGCCTGGCTTAATTTTTGTATTTTTAGTAGAGATAGGGTTTCACTATGATGGCCGGTCTGGTCTGGGATTTCTGACCTCAAGTGATCCACCCACCTTGGCCTCCCAAAGTGCTGGGATTACAGGTGTGAGCCACTGCGCCCAGCCAAGATTAGTATTCTTACTACTTCTTATTTCACTGATTAGCGTTTAGCTGGATTCCTTAGAATCGCAATTCAGCCTTAGCCTGCGGCCTTCCTTGTGGCCAAACCTGAATCTCTCTCTACTGAGCTCATCTCTGGGACTCTGCGGGGTGGGTGGGGTGTGGGCAGCTGTTGGTGGTACGCAGCTCATTCGTTGGCCCTCTCTGGGCAGCCTGGTGGGCAGGGGCAGCCCTGGTGGGCACAGCTTACCGTGCTGAGTGTGGGCATGGGCACTCCCTCGCCCTGCAGGGATTCTCATTGATAAAGGTACAGTTTGTGGCAGACAGTCCTTTGTTATGCTGCCTGTATTTTCAGCCTCGCAATGTATTTTCATACCTTCTCTAATAAATCTGCCTTTTGTAATAAAAAAGAAAAGGTACAGTTTGTGCCTTTCATACAACTTGGCCCCTAAATGCAAACCATTTTTATCCCATCTGCTGCTTAAGCAAAGGAAACAGTGATGTGTTCCAACTCTGGAGGCAAAGCTGGCTGTTCGACTCCCCCAGATGGTCCTGTACTGTACTTTCTGGGCGAGTGGAGGCATTTCAAGAGTGACTTTGACTAGCCTTGACTTTTTACCAGACTGGGTAAGTTTGGAGCCTGCCCCTGGCTGAGATGTCGTGGTGCTGTGCTGAGTGTTCAGCTGTGCCACCACGCTCAGTGGGTGCCAGTGACCCCGGGCACAACAGACAGACCCCCACCCTGGAGGAGCTGCAGCCTGCTCAGGGAGCCAGGGCAGGAGTGAAGGAAGCCGAGTGGCTGTGGGAAATCAGAAAGGGGTTGGGGAGTAATGTCAGGATGAAGTCCAGCTTCTTCATGTGGCTTCTAAGGGCCTCTCCCCAGTCAGCTGGAGCCACTCCTGGCACCAACCATAGTGTTATTGAATTTATTTCTTTTTTTGAGACAGAGTCTTGCTCGGTTGCCCAGGCTGGAGTGCAGTGGCGCGATCTCAACTCACTGTAACCTCCACCTCCCAGGTTCGAGCGATTCTCCTGCCTTAGCCTTCCGAGTGGCTGAGTGGCTGTGATTATAGGCGCGCACCACCATGTCCAGCTGATTTTTGTATTTTTAGTAGAGATGGTGTTTCACTATGTTGGCCAGGCTGGTCTTGAACTCCTGACCTCAAATGATCCACCCACCTCAGCCTCCCAAAGTGCTGGGATTATAGACGTGAGCCACTGTGCCCGGCCTGAGGAGCTGAGTCTTAGAGGAACCCAGGGTGGGTGGGTTTGTTCTGGTGAGGGGGTGTGCAGGCCGGGTTCTGGCCCCCAATACCCACTTGGGGATAGGCAGGACAGCTCCTTGTCAACCCCAAGGAGGCAGCGCCTTTCCTGAGCTGTCAGGGCAGCACCATATGGTTCCTTTCTTTTCCTTTCCTTCACCTCCTCTACCCTGGTGGCAGGGAAGCTGCTGGTGTAGCCACACGCGGGTGCTGTGTTCTGTGATCGTACTGTTGCGCCATTGTTCGGATTGGCTCTGTGCAGTAGGAGTCACTCTCCCCATTTGATGGAGGTTCAGTGAGGTTCATGGCTTGCCCTCAGCACTTGGCTTAAAACTGGAAGCGTCCCCGGGCCCGTGTGAAGCGGGAGCCAGCTCCTGTCCCACTGCATTAGGTGGTCTGCCTTTAGGTGATGGCTACAGGTCTCAAATCTTCAGCCAGGTTGGGACCTCCTGGGACTCCAGGATCTCCACCTGCTTCAGGACCCCTTTCTCATCTCTTGGCAGCTGGTGTCTCGCCACCCAGAAAGGGCCTTGCACCCTGTTCCCCGCCGTCTGTAGCACCCACTCCAGTGGAACCAGAAGATGTGGCTCAGGTAGGCAGATACCTGGAGAGGTGGGAGGGCCAGGGGTGGAGGGGGCGAGTTATGTGGACGACTATCATTGCAGTGACTGGGTCATGTGAGGAAGTTAGCCCTGACAGTGTTCAGAGGGTGCTTGTTCTCTGTCCCTGCCCTATTGGCTTTGGGAACAGGTGTCCCTGACTGGGGCAGTGAGGCATGGGTCAGGAGGCCAGTCCCGTTCTATGGGCAGGGAGCCCTACCTCCTTCTCCAGGACTCAGGTGGGGTCAGGAGATGCCAGCTCTGGCAAGGGGAGAGAGGGCAGTCCACAATGCTGACTTCACCATCATGGGACTGTCAGGAGTTACACACGTAGTAAAGCAAAGATTCCCCTTGATTCCTGTGGAGACAGCTGTAAACTTCCCGGCTTGATTTCCTTTAATCCTCTCAACAACCCAGGGAGGTCAGCATTATGGGCCCTGGTATACAGATGAGGAAACTGAGGCTCAGTGAGGTTTAGTCATTTGTCCAAGGTTACTTAGTAAGGAAGTGGGGGCCAACTGCCAGTCACCTGTTTGAAGGGCTTAGAGGAAGTGACACCAGCCCTTCACATCTGGACGGCACCTTACAGTGTGTAAAGGGCCTTCCCCTCCTGCTCCCATCTGCTCTTTGCTGGAGGGAGCTAGCCCCAGGGTGGGTGCTCCATGAGGGTACATGGGGCTGAGGCTGGCAGGGGTTATACAGTTTCATTCTGCAGGTGGGACCCAAGCCCACACTTGAGCAGCTTGCTCAGGTTCACTGTGCTTGGATGTAGAGAAACTGGGATTTAAATCCGTGGCAGTTCTAGGAGAGAACAGAAAAGGCAGCTGAGGTCGGCCTGGGAGGACAGGAACCTGTCAGGGGGGCTCCCCCGCAAAGGGGAGGAGGAGGGGGCAGGAGCCGCCAAGGGGAAGGGGCTGCACAGCCAGGAGCTGCCTTCCTTTGGGGAGGGAAGCCTCAGAAACCGGAAGTCAGGATTTTCGTGTTTCCGCACTGGCTCAGTGACCTTGAACAAGGCTTTCCTCCGTTCTGGGCTTTGGCTTCCTCACCTGGGAGACAGTGGCAGCCTCCTGCCCTCTGCCCCTCCTGGGGCCCTGATGAAGTCCATTTCCACCACGAAGCCTGGTGCACACTTGAGTGACGGTGGCCGTTGGAGGGAGGGAGAGGGCAGTGATGTGAACAGGATGGCTGGTGACCATGTCCTGCTCCCAACCTCCCCCACCTCGTTCTCTGCAGGGCGAGGAGCTCTCCTCAGGCAGCCTGTCAGAGCAGGGCACCGGCCAGACCCCCAGCAGCACGTGCGCAGCCTGCCAGCAGCATGTGCACTTGGTGCAGCGCTACCTGGCTGACGGCAGGCTGTACCATCGCCACTGCTTCCGGTGAGTGGCCAGGGCCGCGTGTTACCCCCGAAACCAGGGAGGGGGCTACCGTGGGTTCAGCACACACAGTGCGCCAGGCACCTTGCCAGGCCCTTCACACCAGAGCCCCTGGCTTATCCCCATTTTACTGATGAGCAAACCAAGGCTTAGTGAGGGGAAAAGCAGTTGCTCAGCCACATGATTCGAGACAGAAACAGGGTTAGAGCACAGGGGTTTTCCTTCCAGCGCCTACGCTTTTTGAGGATAACTACTGGATGAGGATGAAGGAGCACTTTAAAAGCCACGTGTACTTTAAAAGCCATTGAAAATTAGCCGGGCATGGTGGTGCACACCTCTAATCCCAGCTACTCGAGAGGCTGAGGCAGGAGAATCGCTCAAACCCGGGAGGCAGAGGTTACAGGAAGCCGAGATCGTGCTACTGCATTCCAGCCTGGGTGACAGAGCGAGACTCTGTCTCAAAAAAAAAAAAAAAAAAAAGGCCATTGAAAAAATAAAATGAAATATTTTAGCTTAAAAAATTTTTTTTTGGCCGGGTATGGTGGCTCACGCCTGTAATCCCAGCACTTTGGGAGGCCGAGACAGGTGGATCACCCTGAGGTCAGGAGTTTGAGACCAGCCTGATCAACGTGGTGAAACCTCATCTCTACTAAAAATACAAAAATTAGCTGGGTGTGGTCGTGGGCACCTGTAATCCCGGCTACTCGGGAAGCTGAGGCAGGAATCACTTGAAGCCAGGAGGTGGAGGTTGCAGTGAGCTGAGATCGCACCTTTGCACTCCAGCCTGGGCGACAGAACGAGACTCTGTCTCAAAAAAAAAATCTTTTTTTCTTTTAAGATGGGTCTACTATGTTGCCCAGGCTGGTCTCAACCTCCTTGGCTCAAGTGATCTTCCTGTCTTACCCTCCCAAGTAATCGGGACTACAGGCATGTGCTACCATGTTCTGCTTGAAGTTTTAAAAAATTACAGTAACAACTTGCTTTAAGTATGTGGCTTCCAAGGGAAGCCAGATTTTAAGAGAGTGGTATAAGCAGCAAGGAAAGTAAAAAAACTTAGAAAATTCATGGAAACATTTTATATGTTTCAAAAATGAAACCAAAAGAGGAAATTGAACAGTCAAGGAAGCCGGGAGTGGCAGCACGCACTTGATCTGGTTGAGTGTGCCCCTGAGTGGGGGGCAGCTGGTGCTGGAACCCTGGAACCTGACCGCAGAATTGGGGTGTCATGGGGAAAAATCTCGAGGAGGAAACAGACTCTACCAACACAGTCACATCTGGCTACCAGGGCAGTGTTTTAGAAACTTTTTACAGGCCGGAGCTGGGTGTGGTGGTGGCTCATGCCTATAATCCCAGCACTTTCGGAGGCTGAGGCTGGAGGATCGCTTGAGGCCCAGAGTTTAAGACTAGCCTGGGCAACATAATGAGACTTCATCTCTACAAAAAAATTAAAAAAAAAAAAAATTAGGCCAGGCGCAATGGCTCATGTCTGTAATCCCAGCACTTTGGGAGGCCGAGGCGGGTGGATCACGAGGTCAGGAGATCGAAGCCATCCTGGCTAACACGGTGAAACCCCGTCTCTACTAAAAATACAAAAAAAATTAGCCGGGCATGGTGGTGGCAGGCGCCTGTAGTCCCAGCTACTCGGGAGGCTGAGGCAGGAGAATGGTGTGAACCTGGGAGGCAGAGCTTGCAGTGAGCCGAGATCACGCCACTGCACTCCGGCCTGGGCGACAGACTGAGACTCCGTCTCAAAAAAAAAAAAATTAGCCTAGTGTAGTGGCACGCACCTGTAGTCTTAGGCATTTGGGAGGCTGAGGCAGGAGGATCACTTGAGCCCAGGAGTTTGAGGCTGCAGTGAGTTATGACTGCACTACTGCACTCCAACCTGGGTGACAGTGAGACCCTGCCTCAAAAATAAAAAGAAACTTTTTATAGCAACTCCTAGTAAAAAATACACTTGACACTGTGACTAGATGTAAATATTTACCTGAAATAAAACTGTGTAAGTAGAGGCACAGCTGGAGTAAGAGTTTCACAAAGCACTATTTGGCCTTTCTTGTATGATACTGTCTTATACATTGTATCTTATTCTATTTCATTAACAAAACACAGCCGGAAGTAGTGGCTCACACCTGTAATCCCAGCACTTTGGGAGGCCTATGCAGGTGGATCACTTGAGGTTGGGAGTTTGAGACCAGCCTGGCCGACTTGGTGAAACTCCGTCTCTACTAAAAATGCCAAAAAAAAATTAGCCAGGTGTGGTGGCAGATGCCTGTAATCCCAGCCACTCGGAAGGCTGAGGCAGGAGAATCTCTTGAACCCGAGAGGCGGAGGTTGCAGTGAGCCAAGGTCGCACCATTGCACTCCAGCCTGGACAACAAGAGTGAGACTCCATCTCAAAAAAACAAAACAAAACAAAATGAAAACAAAACACAAAACAACACCTGATTGGGTAAAAACCACTGCTTTATTTTCCTGAGCCACTACTGGATGCAGCCACTCACTGGATGCCACCTCTCAGGGGGACCTTTGCTTCTTCCTCTTGCAGCATAAACTGAAGGCATTTTTCACAATTTCTGTTGCTGAGTTCGTGTGATTTGGTGATTTTATTGTTCCACTATGCTTCTGACAGTTACTGTTTTCTTTATCCTCTGGGAAGTCTAGGGTATGGAGTCGAGCTTGGCTGGCAGTTGGGAGGAGGGAAGGGAGGAGACAGCCCTGGGTGCGGCTGGAGGGGTAGCCAGTGCCTGGGCCCAGCTGCCTGGCTAAGTGAACCCCTGTCCTGTCCCCTGCCAGGTGTCGGCGGTGCTCCAGCACCCTGCTCCCTGGGGCTTATGAGAATGGGCCTGAGGAGGGCACCTTTGTGTGTGCAGAACACTGTGCCAGGCTGGGCCCGGGGACACGGTCGGGGACCAGGCCTGGGCCCTTCTCACAGCCAAAGCAGCAGCACCAGCAGCAACTCGCAGAAGATGCCAAGGATGTTCCAGGAGGCGGCCCCAGCTCCAGTGCTCCTGCAGGGGCTGAGGCCGATGGACCCAAGGCCAGCCCTGAGGCCCGGCCGCAGATCCCTACCAAGCCCCGGGTTCCTGGCAAACTACAGGAGCTGGCCAGCCCCCCTGCGGGCCGCCCCACCCCTGCCCCCAGGAAGGCCTCTGAGAGCACCACCCCAGCACCCCCCACGCCCCGGCCCCGCTCCAGTCTGCAGCAGGAGAACCTGGTGGAGCAGGCTGGCAGCAGCAGCCTGGTGAACGGTGAGCAGGGTGCAGTCAGGGCAGGGGGCACCGGGTGGCAGTGCACTGTCTATTGAAAAGTCTGTGTGTCTGGGAGTGTTGGTGGGCCCCTCTCCATCTGTGCCATTGTGTGCTGTGCTGTGTTGGGGCCTGCCTGTGTTTTTGAGGTTATTATATATATATATATATATATATATTTTTTTTTTTTTTTTTTTTTTTTTGAGATGGAGTTTTGCTCTTGTCCCCCAGGCTGGAGTGCAGTGGCTTGACCTCGGCTCACTGCAACTTCCACCTCCCGGGTTCAAGCGATTCTCCTGCCTCAGCCTCCTGAGTAGCTGGGATTACAGGCATGCGCCACCATGCCCAGCTAATTTTGTTTTGTTTTTTTTTGTTTTTTTTTTTTTTTTTTTTTAGTAGAGACGGGGTTTCTCCATGTTGGTCAAGCTGGTGTTGAACTCCCTACCTCAGGTGATCTGCCTGCCTCGGCCTCCCAAAGTGCTGGGATTACAGGCGTGAGCCACTGTGCCCAGCCTATTATTATTATTTTTGAGATGGAATCCCACTCTGTCACCCAGGTTGGAGTGCAGTGGTGCGATCTCGGCTCACTGCAACCTTTGCCTCCCGGCTTCAATCAGTTATCCTGCCTCAGCCTCTTGAGTAGCTGGGATTACAGGCTACCACAGCCTGGCTAATTTTTGTATTTTTAGTAAAGATGAGGTTTCACCATGTTGGCCAGGCTGGTCTCAAACTCCCGACCTCAGGTGATCTGCCCACCTCAGCCTCTCAAAGTGCTGGGAGTACAGGCATGAGCCACTGTGCCGGGCTCTTTTTATTTTTTTTGAGACGGAATCTCACTCTGTCATCCAGGTGGAGTGCAATGGCACAATCTCGGCTCACTGCAATCTCTGCCTTCCAGGTTCAAGCGATTCTCCTGCCTCAGCCTTCCAAGTAGCTGGGACTACAGGTGCACACCACTATGTCTGGCTAATTTTTGTATTTTTGGGTAGAGATGGGTTTTCACCATGTTGGCCAGGCTGGTCTCGAACTCCTGACTTCAGGTGATCTGCCCGCCTTGGCCTCACAAAGTGCTGGGATTAAGGCCTGAGCCACCATGCCTGGCCTGTTTCTGAGGATATTAATTCCTGCCCCAAATGCCGAGTTCCTGCAGCCTCTGCCGTGCTCTGTTCTCCATGCTGGGACGGTGCAAACAATACAGACCCAGGCCCCGCCCTTACACTGCCTCCCTCTGCATGCGCTCTTTTGCATCTGTTCTTGTGGGCTTTAGTTTCAGGGTGTGTAGTAAGTGCCACTCTGCATGTGCCCGTGTGTCCCCGAGCTCTCTGGGACTCTGCACATTGGTGTCCTTCCTGTGTGTCCTGGCCCATCCACAGGCACACTGCAGGTGACCTCCATGCCCAGCCTCTATGCTTGTCTATGTCTAGAAGGGGAGAGCTCAGGGGCTTGGGGGAGAGCAGAGGGGTCAGGTGGGCCCCGGAGCCAGTGTGAGCTGCAGTGGAGACCCCTGGCCCATTCTGTGGGTGCATTCTCCCCCAACCCCACATTGTAGAATGCTCCCAGATGACCTCCCTGGGTTTCCGTGAGCTTGTAGGATTGAGACTCCTTGTATAAGGCTGCTGGGCAGCCCTTATCATTCCATTAGGGAAGGCATTGGTGGCCACGGGGAGAGAGACTCCCAGGGTCACCCTGCGACTTGCACCAGAACATTCTATTTGTTCAGCTCTTGTGGAGGCTGGATCTGAGCTGACCGCTGGGGACACAGATTACTGTTCAGGCCTATCTGTGCCTTCAGGGTGCTCCCAGTGTTGAGGTGGAGACAGGCACAGATGCAAGGGTTTCAGTGGATTGTGGAAGTCTTGCTAAGTTGGAAGGAGGGGAGCAGGGGCTGCTGTGGGATTCACAGAGGACACTTGGGAGTCCAGGACTTCCAGGAGGAGGTGGCTCCCAGGCTGACTTGAGATGATGTTTTCTGCCCACACTGGCGGGGGGTGTCTGAGGGGATTTGGGTTTCTTCTCAAATGAAATGCAAACGGGGTCTCAGGTGGCCTGGCCTTGACCCCTGACTGTTCTCAGGCACCTGGGTGCTTATCTAATCTCCATGGGCTGGCCTGGGGAGGTGCGAGGGTGCCAGGAGGAAGGCGGGGCGCTCCTGGGGAGGCAGGTGCTGTGGCTGGCTCCCTGGGTGCCCACCTCCTGCTGCCCATGAAGGCCTGGCTCACTCTCCTTTCCCATCTAGGGAGACTGCACGAACTGCCTGTCCCCAAGCCGAGGGGGACACCGAAGCCGTCCGAGGGGTATGTCGATCCCTGAGGGGCTTTCCTGCTTTGGAGGTCCTGGTGGTGGGAATCAGGGTACTCTGGGGCCGGGTAGGGAGAGAGGCTTCCTGTGGATGGGCAGGGCGGGGCTCAGGAGGGGAAGGAGAGCTGGGCCCACACCCCTTCTCCTGAGGCTCACCCCGGGATTCCTGCGGCCAGTGCCTGGCCCCCTCCCCAGGTCCCTGCTCCTGTGGGCAGTGCCCGGTGCAGGCAGCCACCTCTGGTACCCGTTGCCTCTCCAGGCTCCTTTGCCCTGTAACATGGGAGGCCGAGGCTTGATTATAGAGTTGATTTGAGGCTTAGCAGCAGAGTATAGAAAGACCTGGAAAAGCTCAGCTGTAGTACCAGTCCCTCAGGTCCTGCAGCACGGGACCCTGCTTCACGTGGAGGACATCTACTTCAGCTGTTATTTGAGGGCCATGCTTCCCCCATGTGGTCGGTCTGTAGGGAGCCAGGTGGGCCATGGCTGTGCCAGTTGTTAACGTTTACTGAGTCCCTGGCACTGAGCAGGTGCCCCAGTGCCCCGCCCAGTGCTGCACTCCATAGCTCACTGCATCCTTACACCAACCCTGTGAGGCAAGGATTATTAAGGTCCCCATTGAGTGGAAAGGGAGACTAATACAGAGGGAGGGCAGGTGACTTTCCCAGGGTACATGGATTGTAGGTGGCAGAGCCCCTGGTCGATCCTTTCCTGGGCTGGGTTAACAGCAGCTCTGTGACTTGAAGGTTCACATTCTCTGGGCCTCAAAGGCTGTGACTGTAACATTCCATTTCAGACTGTCCCCATGGGGATGGGGGTGGGAGAAGGGAAACAGCCGTTTCTCATCCACCCCCTTTGAAGTAGAGTCAAAACTGTCTAGAGAGAGAAGGAAGCTGACCCTTGCCTCTGCTAATGGTTTCTGCTGCTTCCCCCCTCCTCCAGGACACCAGCCCCCAGGAAGGACCCCCCATGGATCACGCTGGTGCAGGCAGAACCAAAGAAGAAGCCAGCCCCACTTCCCCCAAGCAGCAGCCCGGGGCCACCAAGCCAGGACAGCAGGCAGGTGGAGAATGGAGGCACCGAGGAGGTGGCCCAGCCGAGCCCAACGGCCAGCCTGGAGTCCAAACCCTATAACCCCTTTGAGGAGGAGGAGGAGGACAAGGAGGAAGAGGCTCCAGCTGCACCCAGCCTGGCCACCAGCCCTGCCCTGGGCCACCCGGAGTCCACACCCAAGTCCCTGCACCCCTGGTACGGCATCACCCCTACCAGCAGCCCCAAGACAAAGAAGCGCCCTGCCCCGCGCGCACCCAGCGCGTCCCCACTGGGTGAGTGCCTTTCCTGGAGCTCTCCTGACAGTCGGAACTCGGGGGTGGGGCCCGGGCCTGGGGAGGGGGTGTGGTGGGGCAGAGCCTACCAGGCCAGGCACCACGTGTTTCATGGGTGACTTCTCATTTAATCCTAGAGCAAACCTGTGAGTAGGTATCGTCACCTCCACTTTGCAGGTGAGGAGACTGAGGCACAGAGAGGCTAAGTAGTTTGCCTAAAGCCTCTCAGTGCTTAAGCAGGAGAGGCAGGATTTGAACCCACGGAGTCTGGCCCGAGTCCATCTCTTCACCCTCCCTGTCGTGCTCGTTAAACGTGCTGTCTAGTGGTGTGCTCAGTGCAGCGAGGGGCTCATGGAAAGGAGGCGTTTGCTTGAATCCTGCCTAACTCTGTCACTGTCGCTGCAGTTCCTGAGCGACCTGGGCTCTCACCTGGCCATGTGTGACCAGGTGTAATGACTCTGACTGTCCCTGAGTCTGTCTGTAGTCCTCCATGTGACATGGTGGCTCAGCTCCAGGCTGCTGGGCCTCCTCCGCCCAGTGCTTCCCCCCTCACCCAGGAACGCTGGAGTTTTTGGCCCTCACCTTCTCCCAGTCTTCTGATACCCTGAGCTGGGTTTTTGGCCCTAACCTTCACCATGGCTGGGTCTGGCCGCCTCTGAGAGTTCCATGGGACCCCCTCTCACAGTGGGGCAAGAGCATGCCAGAGCTGGCAGAGGCAGGTGCTCAGGGGGTCTGAGCGGAGCCCTGGGACCCCAGCTGAGGCTGGCCTGTCTGGGTGGAAGTGGTGGGCAGCTTCAGGGGACAGCAGAGGAGCATGAGCTCTGGAGTCAGATACAGTGGATTCAGTCCCACCCCGTGCTGGGGCGAGTGCCCTCTCCTCTCTAAGCCTGTTGCCTCATCTGGAAAATGCAGATAATGTGTTTGGAAGCATCATATCCATCAGCCACGAGGAGATAAATTGGTGCCCGGCAGTGCCTGTCCCAGAGCTGGTGGCTGCGAGGGCTGCGTGCTCCTCCCCTCTGCCTCCGCACTGCAGATCAGGGGCAGAGGAGGGGCCACCTCTCTTCCTCTGGCATTCCCAAGGTGGTTTTGCTGTGGGTGCCCTCATGGGGGCTATGGGGAGTGTGGGGAAGTGGAGGCAGCAGGCAGAACGCAAGGCGGGCGGGTTGGACTCGGGTGGCTGGATGCACCTCATGACTTCCGTCCTGCCGGGCGTTTGCTGTTCCCTGGGCCTTGGCCCTGTCTCGATGTGGAGGGCTTGGGTTTCTGGGGCTGCCTGCGGCTCTGTTGAGAGTGGAGCCGGGAGGTGGGGCTGGAAGCCCTTGTGGTGCTCCCCTTGTGAGGTGTCCTGGTGCTCGTCCGCACAGCTCTCCACGCCTCCCGCCTCTCGCACTCGGAGCCGCCCTCGGCCACACCATCGCCAGCGCTCAGCGTGGAGAGCCTGTCGTCTGAGAGCGCCAGCCAGACTGCAGGTGCAGAGCTTCTGGAGCCGCCAGCTGTGCCCAAGAGCTCCTCAGAGCCTGCTGTCCATGCCCCTGGTACCCCTGGAAACCCTGTCAGCCTCTCTACCAACTCCTCCCTGGCCTCCTCTGGGGAACTAGTGGAGCCTAGAGTGGAACAAATGCCTCAAGCCAGCCCTGGCCTTGCCCCCAGGACCAGGGGCAGCTCAGGTCCCCAGCCAGCCAAGCCCTGCAGTGGCGCCACCCCAACGCCTCTCTTGTTGGTTGGAGACAGGAGCCCGGTGCCTTCCCCTGGAAGCTCGTCCCCACAGCTGCAGGTAAAGGTGAGTGCCCCCTCACCCTCACTAAAAGTGACATCCTCTCTAGTGGATGCGGGTCTGGTCTCAGGGCAGAAATGTCCAGGGCCTTTTCTTAATTTTTTTGAGATGGAGTCTCTCTCTGTCACCCAGGCTGGAGTGCAGTGGCGCGATCTTGGCTCACTGCAAGCTCTGCCTCCTGGGTTCACGCCATTCTCCTGCCTGAGCCCCCAAGTAGCTGGTACTACAGGCGCCCACCACCACGCCCGGCTAATTTTTTGTATTTTTAGTAGAGTGGGGTTTTCACCCCGTTAGCCAGGATGGTCTCGATCTCCTGACCTCGTGATCCGCCTGCCTCAGCCTCCCAAAGTGCTGGGATTACAGGCATGAACCACCATGCTTGGCCTTCTTTTTTATTTTTTTTTGAGACGGAGTCTCGCTCTATCACCCAGCCTGGAGTGCAGTGGTGTGATCTCGGCTCTCTGCAAGCTCCGCCTCCCAGGTTCACACCATTCTTCTGTCTCAGTCTCCCGAGTAGCTGGGACTACAGGCGCCCGCCACCATGCCCAGCTAATTTTTTGTATTTTTAGTAGAGACGGGGTTTCACCGTGTTAGCCAAGATGGTCTCGATCTCCTGACCTCACGATCCACCCGCCTTGGCCTCCCAAAGTGCTGCAATTACAGGCGTGAGCCACTGCCCCCGGCTGTCTAGGGCCTTTTCTATCTTTACTGGCCTCTGACTTCCTGAGTGGCCTTGGCCAGTCTATCTACCCATTACCCACTCTGTCCAATGAGGCACAAACCCGTCTGTCCATGCTTCCATCCATCTGCCAGAGCTCCCACCTATCTATCCACCTGTCCACAAACATAGCCTCCCAGGTCTTATGTATCAGGGCCCCTGTTTGCCTCCCATCCCCTCCACTTGCCTATTTGGGTTCCACTCACCAGCCACCAGTCATCCCGTATTGTCTGTCCGCTCTTCCATTCACTCAGGCTCTACTGATGCCAGACCCTGGGCAGAGTTGTATTAAAACCCTATCCTGGCTGGGCGTGGTGGCTCACACCTGTAATCCCAGCACTTTGGAGGCTGAGGCAGGCAGGTCACTTGAGGATAGGAGTTTGAGACCAGCCTGGCCAACATGGTGAAACCCCATCTCTACTAAAAATACAAAAATTAGCCAGGTGTGGTGGCAGGCACCTGTAATCCTGGCTACTTGGGAGGCTGAGGTAGGAGAATTGCTTGAACCTGGGAGGTGGAGGTTGTAGTGAGCTGAGATGGCCCACAGCCTGGGCAACAGAATGAGACTCTGTCTCAGAAAAAAAAAAGACCCTGTCTTTGGCCTCCAGGGGCTCACGATCTGCTCAGGGAGATAGGCATAATGGGCATTTTGGAAGGTGACCTAGAGTAGAGCACAGAGGGGAGGGATTCACTCCCTTCTGCAGAGACCTGGGTCTCCCCGCCATGGAACAGGGGAGCTGGGGTCTCTGAATGCCTCCCATGTGCATGGCTGCCTGGGCTCCACAGGTCATGTGGACATAGTGGTCCCTGTCCCCAAGGCGCTCCCAGCCAGGTCAGGGGGAGGTGCTATAATGTACATGCTGCTGTGTGTGGAGTTTGTAGTGGGCAGGGGGTCAGCCCTCAACAGGCAGAAGGACCCAGGACACACAGCTTTCTTGGGTGCTTCTGTTGTGTGCCATGAGGGGTGTTTACCGAGGAGAGCAGACGTGGCCCTATCCTGTCCTCCTGCTCCCTTGCTGGGCTCTGTCTTTTCTCAGGTGACATGGGCGTGGGGAGGTTCTGGCTGGGCACCCATCCAGGCTGCTCCTGTTCCAGGTATGCTGTGTGCTGTGGGCTCACCTGTTTCTCAGCCCCATACTGAGAACCTGGGGATTGCCTGGGCTCAGTACTTTCCTCTGGGCACCCAGTTCATGAGGGCCCTGTCTTGCAGCCACAGCGCCTTTGGATGGCCCAACGCTCTGCAGGCCTCTGAGCTCCCAAGGCTCATCTGGCCCCAGGTAGAGGGTGGCAGGACAGCCTTTGTGGGGCAGCTGAAGTTGTAGCCTGACCCTGCCCATGTGCCTCAGGCATCGTTGAACCTTCCCTGGTCCCGGCAAGAGCCTCTTGGGCATTGATTCTGGCTCTGCCTCCCACCTGCTGTGTGTCCTTGAGCAGGCCCCATCCTCCTCTGGGCCTCGGGCTCCCACAGATGGTGAGGGGCTGGCGGCACCAAGTGTCCTGAGTGCTCGAAAGACCCCCTGGTTCCTTGGTGGTGGAGGGCACGGGGGTGGGTCACCTTCGGATTCTCGTGTTTCGTGTCCTGGGCTGCGTGAATATTGGTCTGAAGTTTTGGGGCTGAGAAAAGGCTGAAAACCTTTGAGGGGCTCAGGGGCTTTGGGCTGCTTGGCTCTGCTGGCCCCTCTGGGTGTGTTAGAGGGAGGGGGCAGAACCCCGGGTGCACTTGCTTGTGGGGAACCCCTGTCCCACTGTCACCCCAGGATTAGGGGAGACTTTCAGAGGCAGTGGGGGCCTTGGGGTGCCACCCTGGGTCATTGGGTGGGTGCTGCCCTGTGGGAGCCAAGCCCTGGCTTCTTGCTGTGCCCAGACCTGGGCCCCAGCACCCTCCCTGCTTCAGAAACCCCAGAGCAGCTCCCACCCCGAGAGCCTCTCTCCCTGGGCTGGCACAGGCCTCCACCTGCTCCGCAGCTGCCGAGGGAAAGCTGGGTCAGTGCTTCTTGGAGCATCCCAGGTCTCAGGTGAGGCCTCTGTAAGGGGCTCGCAGTGACGTCTGTTTCCAATGAGCTGGGAAGAGTGGTTGGGAAATAGTGACATTGCCCGTGTGGTGGGCAGGGCCTTGCCGTGCCCTGGCAGTGGAGCTGCCCGGCCTGTGCTGGCCTCAGAGAGGGCGGGGGTCTCCCCAGAGGCACGGAAGGATGCAGAGCCTGGGCTCTGGGTGTGTGGGTACTGGGCTGTGCAGCAGAGGATGAGATCTTTCTCTGGCAGGGAGGGAGGTACCCTCTGACTCCATCTGCTGGTCAAACACTTCCTGGCTGGGTGACCCTGGGTGAGGAACTTCACCTCTCTGAGCCTCAGAGTCCCCAGCGGGGAGAGGGTGGTTATGAGGCCTGAATGAACTACCATAGCTCTGTCTTGCCTTAAACCCAATGCCATTCTGTGCTTCTAGGGAAACCCCTGCCCTCTTTGAGGCTAGCACAGCCAGGCACCCCCACCAGTGGGGCACAGTAGGGCACTGCCTGCCACATGGGCAAGGTTCTAACCACTACCCCTCAATGCTAGATGGCTGCCCAGGCCCTGAAACAGACAGATTCTCACCCCAGCTTGGGCTCATGGGAAGTGTGTGGCCGTGAGCAAATGACTTAACCTCTCTGAACTTGAGTTTACTCAGCTGTGAAATGGTCATTGTAATATCCACTTGGCAGGGTGGTTGGGAGAATTAAACAAGAATGTATAAAAAGGCCAGGTGTGGTAATCCCAGCACTTTGGAAGGCCAAGGCAGGAGGATCACTTGAGCCCAGGAGTTTGGGACCAGCCTGGGCAACAAAGTGAGAACCTGTCTTTACAAAAAAAAAAAAGTAAATACAAAAAATTAGCCAGGCGTGGTGGTGCAAGCCTGTAGTCCCAGCTTCTCGAGAGGCTGAGCTGGGAGGATTGCTTGAGCCCCAGGAGGCTGAGGCTGCAGTGCAGCCATGGTTATGCCACAGCTGCACCCAGCCTGGTGACAGAATGAGACTGTCTCCAAAAAGTGTAAAAAGTATCCAGTGCAGTAACTGACACACGGGAAGAGCTCTGGAAAAGGAAATGGAAATGTTTATTGAATGACTGAGTGCATCAGAGACGGAATTCAAGGAGACTGTCTCTTTGCCTGGGTCCTGCTGGCCCTGGAGTGCTGGCCTGCTTTCCATGTTCCCAAATATGAGGCTGCTGGGGTCTCACGTGCCCTCTTCCCAGGCTCACCCTCTGTCATGTCTCCTTCCCTTTAGTCCTCCTGCAAGGAGAATCCTTTTAACCGGAAGCCATCACCTGCAGCGTCCCCAGCCACAAAGAAGGCCACCAAGGGATCCAAGCCAGTGAGGCCACCTGCCCCTGGACACGGCTTTCCACTCATCAAACGCAAGGTACCAGCTGGGAGCCCCCCGAGACCAGGCTGGCCTGGGCTGGCAACCCCCACTCTGCAGCTGCAGTCTTCCCCTGGGACTCTAAGGAGGCTGGCTGGCTAGGCAGTGGGCCTCAGATGCTCAAGAGAGCACTCTTGGCGGCCCAACTGGAAGGTCTAGCTTGCAGCCTGGAGGGATTTGGAGCAGATCAGCCCTTCACCACCAAAAGCAGTGGGTGGTGCATTTAATTTGTTACTAACAAGTTCAAGTATCAAGCACTCATGATAACACTGCTACTTAAGCTGATTAGAGTGTTCTCAAGTTTATCTCTGTAATAAGGTCACTCTCACTGACATTGTGATACCCTTTCTGGAGTGGCAGAGAGGAGGCGTTTCCGTGAAGGGCAGGGAGTCATGCCACCTTCTGGAGTGTCTGTTGGTGCTGGGACCAGTGGCATGCAGGGTTGTGGCTGTCCCCACACTGGCCCCTTCCCCACTGGGACCCTGCCTTCTTACCATGCTGGGGTGGGGGACAGGGCCCGGGCCCTGGAGCCACCAGTGGCCAATGCTGGCCAGAGAAGAGGGCAAGGCTCCTGGCAGCAACCAGGCAGGCCGTCAGGTGACCAGGCACTGTTGGGCAGGTCCAGGCTGACCAGTACATCCCTGAGGAGGACATCCATGGAGAGATGGATACCATTGAGCGCCGGCTGGATGCCCTGGAGCACCGTGGGGTGCTGCTGGAGGAGAAGCTGCGTGGCGGCCTGAATGGTGCGGGAGCGGCTGGGAGGGCCTGCTGGGTGGGGCTGGGGGCAGGAGCCTCTATTCCCCGGGGAACTGAGCCAGGCATGGCAGCCAGCCCTGGCCTCAGTGGGTATCTGGCTTCCAGAGGGCCGTGAGGATGACATGCTGGTGGACTGGTTCAAGCTCATCCACGAGAAGCACCTACTGGTGCGGCGAGAGTCCGAGCTCATCTATGTGTGAGTCCCCCCGCCTGGGGCATCCCTCCCTGGAATCCGTAGAGCTTAGAATGGAGAACCCTTACCCTCTTCCCTCATCAGTAACAGCGCAGGGCAGGGCAGCCGGGGCTCGGGCAGAATTGTTAAGAGTCACCTTATTCCCACCCCTAGCTTCAAGCAGCAGAACCTGGAGCAGCGCCAGGCTGATGTCGAGTATGAGCTCCGGTGCCTCCTCAATAAGCCAGGTGAGTGCAGCCACTGGCACTCCCCTGGCACCTGCCCTGGGGCCTGGTGACACGGAGGAGTGGGGGAGCGGGCAGACAAAACCCCAGTAGGATGCACAGGCAGACTGGGGACAGGGCCAGAGGAGGAGGTGCGGGGCAGGGCTGTCTGGGTCACCCCCAAGGATGGGAGAGACTGTAACAGGCAGTAAGCTGGCTGGGGCTGTGGTAGGAGAAGGAACCGCACAGACAGTGTAGGGTGTGGACGTCCGAGGGACCAGGGATGACAGGCTCTCAGTGAATGAAGATCAGGCCCAGGACCAGCCCAGCCTGTTTTGTGCGTGGGTCAGACTGTTCCTTCTTCTGCCACTAACTTGCTGTGTGACCTTGGGCAGGATTCTTAGCCTCACTGAGCCTCAGTGGCTTCAGGTGTAAGATGGGAATGAAGGTCCCCACGTCCTCGGGTGTTCTTGGGACCAGGAGACAGTGGACGTGGACTCTGTACCCTCTGAAGGGCTGATGGCTGATGGTTACCATGTGGCCGAGTTGGGGTTTGGTGAGGAGGGCTCCTCACACGCCCTGTGACCGTGGAATGCAGTGAACCGCAGCTGCAGGCAGAGACCCCAGGACTATGGAGATTCCAGAGTTGGGAGCCAAAGCTTTTGACCACTTTCTTATGGCTCAGGCATGGTGCCAGCCCTGGGCAAGGGCCATCTTGACAGATGGGAAGTGGAGGGCCAGAGAGGTCAAGGGACTTGGCTGTTGGTGACGGGGCTGGGCTTCCATCCATGTCTCTGATCTGGGGCTGTCCCTGCACACACAGCCCCTCCAGACTGTGGGGATGGTGGCAGGGGAACTGTCTACTGACTGGGGAATTTGGGAGGCTGGAGTGTCCCAGGGGAAGCCACAGAATGTCCCAGGCTTCCACTGCCTTGTGTGAGTCACTCCCAACTCTGCAGGAGGCTGGGGCGTGGCCACCACTCAGAGCCACAGCGGCGCCCTGTGGCCAGAGCGGGCACGGCTCCTCTGCCTCCCTGGCTAGCCCGGCCCCAGGGCTTACTGTGGCTTTTCCAGCCCCCGTGTGGTGGCTGTGCGTCCCGGGCTTGTCAGCCTGTCCCGGATGTTGCTTTTGGAAGGTGAAGCTGGTGTATGAGGCTCCGAGTACAGTACACCATGAGGGCCATTGCTTGGGGGCATCAGGCTGCCAGGTTCAAATACCAGCTCCACCTTCACTGTGTGACACTGGTCAAAGATTTCATGTCCCTGAGTCTCAGTTTCCCCACGTGTAGACTGGGGACATAACTTACCCAGGCCCCAGATATGGAAAATGGCAAAGTGGGATTCAAACTTGGGTGGTGATTTGGAGGCCCTGCTCTGTCCCCAGAACCAGGTTGGGCCACCTGCTCCTCAATTTTGGCAAGGTGAGGCCATAGGGGAAAGGGGCAGTGGCTGAGGGGGCTTCAGGATATTTATTTATTTATTTTGGGGGGGGGTATTTATTTATTTATTATTATTATTTTTTTTTTGAGACAGAGTCTCACTCTGTCGCCCAGGCTGGAGTGCAGTGGCGCGATCTCGGCTCACTGCAAGCTCTGCCTCCCGGGTTCACGCCATTTTCCTGCCTGAGCCTCCCAAGTAACTGGGACTACAGGCGCCTGCCACCACGCCCGGCTAATTTTTTGTGTTTTTAGTAGAGACCAGGTTTCACCATGTTAGCCAGGATGGTCTCGATCTCCTGACCTTGTGATCCACCCACCTTAGCCTCCCAAAGTGCTGGGATTACAGGCATGAGCCACTGCGCCTGGCTCTATTTATTTATTTATTTTATTTTATTTATTTATTTATTTTTATTTTATTTTTTGAGATGGAGTCTCACTCTGTTGCCCAGGCTGGAGGGCAGTGGCACAATCTCGGCTCACTGCAAGCTCCGCCTCCCCAGGTTGACACCATTCTCCTGCCTCAGCCTCCCTAGTAGCTGGGACTACAGGCACCTGCCACCCCGCCCGGCTAATTGTTTGTATTTTTAGTAGAGACGGGGTTTCACCATGTTAGCCAGGATGGTCTCGATCTCCTGACCTCGTGATCCACCCGCCTCCGCCTCCCAAAGTGCTAGGATTACAGGCGTGAGCCACCGCGCCAAGCCCTGGCCCTATTTGTTATTATTATTATTTTATTTTATTTTATTTTTTTGAGTCAGAGTCTCGCTCTGTCGCCTAGGCTGGAGTGCAGTGGCACGATCTTGGCTTACTGCACGCTCCGCCTCCTGGGTTTACGCCATTCTCCTGCCTCAGCCTCCCGTGTAGCTGGGACTACAGGCGCCCGCCACCACACCCGGCTAATTTTTGTATTTTTAGTAGAGACAAGGTTTCATCGTGTTAGCCAGGATGGTCTTGATCTCCTGACCTCGTGATCCGCCCACCTCGGCCTCCCAAAGTGCTGGGATTACAGGCGTGAGCCACCGCACCCGGCCTATTATTTTTTTGAGATGGAGTGTCACTGTGACATCCAGGCTGAAGTGCAATGGCGTGAACTCAGCTCACTGCAACCTCCGCCTCCCAGGTTCAAGCGATTTTCCTGCCTCAGCCTCCCCAGTAGCTGGGATTACAGGCGCCCACCACCACGCTTGGCTAAGGATATTTACTTTTTTTTTTTTTTTTTTGAGACAGAGTCTCACTCTGTTGCCCAGGCTGGAGTGCAGTGGCGTGATCTGAGCTCACTGCAACCTCCACCTCCCAGGTTCAAGCAATTCTCCTGCCTCAGCCTCCCTAGTAGCTGGGATTTCAGGTGTGTGCCACCACACCCCGCTAATTTTTGTATTTTTAGTAGAGACGAGGTTTCACCATTTGGCCAGGCTGGTCTCGAACTCCTGACCTCTGGTGATCCACCTGCCTCGGCCTCCCAAAGTGCTGGGATTACAGGAGTGAGCCACCGGGCCCGGCCTAGGATATTTATTTGAAGCCAGGGAAGCCTGTGGCGGTAGATGTTGTGGAGGGAAGGCCAAGTGTGGGCACTCATCCCTGGAGCCTGCAGGCTGGGGGAGGGGGAAATACTAGGGCCCCAGTGGGCCCCTGGGGGTGGTCCTGTGGGTTGGCTGGGGCCTTGAGAGGAAAGGAGGCAGGAGGGGCAGCAGGTGTGCCCAGCTTCAGGGGAGCCTCCTGCTGGGCTCCCTGCCCCCAGCATCCCCTCTAGTCTACCTTCCTCCACAGCCTTGGATAAATGTCCCAGTATGTCACTTGGGTTGTGTTGCTTCTCCTGCTGGAGGAGCCCTGGGGTTCCCTGTTGTCTCCTCGCCCCTGCCCCACTCTGTCCCTCCTGAATCTTGCCTCCCGCCAGAAGCCACCTAGTGAACATTTGTTGAATGGATGAATGAACATGAGCATGAGACCCTTGGTGCTGCCCTGTTCTTGCAGTAGGTGCTGTGCTGGCCCTGCTGGGGCCCCTTGCAGGGCTCTTTGGTAGGCAGCCTGGTGTCCTTGGTCTCTTCTGTCACAACTTTCTTTTCCCTAAGAACTTGTAGGCCCTGGCCGGGCGCGGTGGCTCACGCCTGTAATCCCAGCACTTTGGGAGGCTGAGACGGGTGGATCACGAGGTCAGGAGATCGAGACCATCCTGGCCAACATGGTGAAACCCTGTCTCTACTAAAAATATAAAAAATTAGCTGAGCGTGGTGGCAGGTGCCTGTAGTCCCAGCTACTCGGGAGGCTGAGGCAGGAGAATGGCGTGAACCCGGGAGGCGGAGCCTGCAGTGAGCCAAGATCACGCCACTGCACTCCAGCCTGGGCGACAGAGTGAGACTCCGTCTCAAAAAAAAAAACAAAAAAAAAAGAACTTGTAAGCCCCACCTATCGGGGCCCTTCCTTTCTGCGCTTAGTTTCTTGCATGGTATTTAGCATGGGGCTGGCCTGCCGCACTTAGGCAGTGGCTCCTGGTGGCCTGGGGAGGAAGAGGGCTTTCCTACCACTCATGCCCCCTAACTTTTCTCCCTGGGCAGAAAAGGACTGGACGGAGGAGGACCGGGCCCGGGAGAAGGTGCTGATGCAGGAGCTTGTGACCCTCATTGAGCAGCGCAACGCTATCATCAACTGCCTGGATGAGGACCGGCAGAGGTGACATGGCCAGGGGTGGGGGGTCCTGGGGGCAGGGCCAGAGCAGGTCAGGCTCTGGGCCTCATGGGTGGGGCAGCTCCCTGGAGAGCCAAAGACACAGTCCACGCCTCAGGCCAGGCCAGCCCTGCCCTCCTACCAGCGATCCCAGTGCACCGTTGCTCAGCCCTGTGTGGACAGAGAGGGCATCTGCTCCTTCCTCCCGTAGGACTCTCAGCTGCCGCTGCTTTTTTTTTTTTTTTTTTTTTTGAGACAGCGTTTCACTCTTGTTGCCCAGGCTGGAGTGCAATGGCATAACCTCGGCTCACTACAACCTCTGTCTCCCAGGTTCAAGCGATTCTCCTACCTCTGCCTCCCGAGTAGCTGGGATTACAGGCATGAGCCACCACACCCAGCTACTTTTTGTATTTTTAGTAGAGATGGGGTTTCACCATGTTGGCTAGGCTGATCTCGAACTCCTGACTTCAGGTGATCCACCCACCTTGGCCTCCCAAAGTGCTGGGATTACAGGTGTGAGCCACCACGCCCAGCTTAACTGCTGCTGCTTATTTCAGGGAGGAAGAGGAAGACAAGATGTTGGAAGCCATGATCAAGAAGAAAGGTGAGGCCCTTGCTGGGGATGAGGCTGGTGAGCACTTGAACTTCGGCATTGGGGTTGGAAGGGAGGGACTGGTTGAAGGGAGGGTTGGAGTGGGCACTACCAGGATGGCTGTGCACAAACTCCGCAGCCTCTGTTGTGCAGAGAGGGCTGTGTGTAGCAAGAGAGGCCAGCATACAGCCAGGAAGGCTGTGGCTTAGGCTTGGAGGGTAGCCGTGGGATGCCCTGATGCCTACAGAGACGACTGTGGTATATGGGAGGCATCTTCCCAGGGTGGATTTGCCCTCAGCTGTGCATTCCCCCTTGAGATCTGCAGCTGGTTTTGTTGGAGTCCGTGGGCCCAAATAGCAGTGCTTCCTGGGGACCAAGTGGTGCTTGAAACAGTTAAAAGAGTACTGGACAGGAGATCAAGACCATCAGGGCTAACACGGTGAAACCCCGTCTCTACTAAAAATACAAGAAATTAGTCAGGCGTGGTGGCGAGAGCTTGTAGTCCCAGCTACTCGGGAGGCTGGGGCAGGAGAATGGTGTGAACCCGGGAGGTGGAGCTTGCAGTGAGCCGAGATCACGCCAGTGCACTCCAGCCTGGGTGACAGAGCGAGACTCAGTCTCAAAAAAAAAAAAAAAAAAAGTACTGGACTGTAAGTCAAAGGATTTTTTTTCTTTTCTTTTTTTTTTTTTTGAGACAGAGTCCCACTCTGTTGTTTAGGCTGGAGTGCAGTGGTGTGATTTTGGCTTACTGCAATCTCTGCCTCCTAGGTTCAAGCAATTCTCCTGTCTCAGCCTCCTGAGTTGCTGGGACTACAGGCGCATGCCATCACACCCAGCTAATTTTTTTTTTTTTTTTTTTGAGACAGAGTCTTGCTTTTGTCACCCAGGCTGGAGTGCAGTGGTACGATCTCAGCTCACTCAACCTCCGCCTCCCAAGTTCAAGCAATTCTGCTTCAGCTTCCTCAGTAGCTGGGATTAGCTGCCACCACACCCGGCTAATTTTTGTACTTTTAGTAGAGATGGGGTTTCGCCATGTTGGCCAGGCTAGTCTTGAACTCCTGACCTCAAGTGATCCGCTCGCCTCGGCCTCCCAAAGTGCTGGGATTATAGGTGTGAGCCACTGCGCCCGGCCCTGGCTAATTTTTTTGTATTTTTAGTAGAAACGGGGTTTCATCATGTTGACCAGGCTGGTCTCGAACTCCTGGCCTCAAGCGATCTGCCCACCTCGGCCTCCCAAAATGCTGGGATTACAGGCGTGAGCCAGTGTTCCTGGCCAGGATTTGGGTTTTGGTCTTGGTTTTACCAGTACCTCACTTTGTGGCCTTGTGGTTAGGTCTTGACTCAGGCCAAGTCAGACTACTTGAGTTCTAGTCCCAGCTCTGGCACTTATGAGCTGGGTGACTTTGAGCTGGCCACTCTACCACTCTGGTCTCATTCTTCATATCTGCAGAATGCGGGTGAAAATGGCACCCCCTCACAGGTGTGTGCTGGGATTACTGAGATAATGTGTAAAACTTAGCTGAGGGCCCTGGCCCTACAAAGGGCTCAGTTGGTATTAGTCAATTTCAAAGGCCTACATTTTCCTTGTCTATAAAATTAGGGGCTCAGACAGATGATTTTGAAGGTTTCTCTTGCTCTGACAGCGTTTGTGTTGTAAGTAACAGAGCTGTGGGCACCAGCCTGGGTGAATCCAGCCTTTTAAAGATAAATGGGGGCCAGGCGCGGTGGCTCACGCCTGTAATGCCAGCACTTTGGGAGGCCGAGGCCGGCAGATCACGAGGTCAGGTGTTCGAGACCAGCCTGGCCAGCATGGTGAAACCCTGTCTCTACTAAAAATACAAAAATTAGCCGCGCATGGCAGCGCTTGCGTGTAATCCCAGCTACTCGGGAGGCTGAGGCAGAAGAATCGCCTGAACCCAGGTGGCAGAGGTTGCAGTGAGCCGAGATCGTGCCACTGCATTCCAGCCTGGGCGACAGCACAAGTCTCCGTCTCAAAAAAAAAAAAAAAAAAAAAAAAGATAAGTGGGGCCAGGCACGGTGGCTCACGCCTGTAATCCCAGCACTTTAGGAGGCTGAGGCGGGCTCATCGCCTGAGGTCAGAAGTTTGAGATCAGCCTGGCCCAACATGGTGTAACCCCGTCTCTACTAAAAATACAAAAATTAGCTGGGTGTGGTGGCACACTTCTGTAATCTCAGCTACTTGGGAGGCTAAGGCAGGAGAATTTCTTGAACCAGGAGGCAGAGTTTGCAGTGAGCTGAGACCGCACCATTGCACTCCAGCCTGGGCGACAGAGACTCTGTCTCAAAAAAAAGAAAAAGAAAAAGATAAATGGATGCCATGCTTCAGAATTCCTGGATTCTAGGCCGAGTGTGGTGGCTCATGCCTGTAATCCTAGCAGTTTGGGAGGCTGAGGCGGGGGGGATCACGAGGTCAGGAGATCGAGAGCATTCTGGCTAACAGTGAAACCCCATCTCTACTAAAAATACAAAAATTAGCCGGGGCGTGGTGGCACCTGCCTGTAGTCCCAGCTACTCGGGAGGCTGAGGCAGGAGAATCGCCTGAACCCGGGAGGCGGAGGTTGCAGTGGGCCAAGATCGCGTCATTGCACTCCAGCCTGGGCGACAAAGCGACTCAGTCTCAAAAAAAAAAAGAATTCCCGGATTCAGCAGAGCTCTTACATGTGCTGACCATCTTGATCTTTCCCCAAACACTGGAGGTGGGGAGGGGGAGGATGGGCCCCATCCTCTAGGTGAAGAGACAGAGGCTGGGAAAGGTGAGTGTCTTGTCCCTCCCAGGCTCCACACAGGAAGTGGTGGGGCTGGGCTGAGCCCTGCTGCCCATGCCCAGGCCTGTGTCACTGGGTCTAGCCTGCCCTGGATGTACCCCTCTTCTCCACTTTATTAAGTGCTCCCCTCTCTGTGCTGCAGAGTTCCAGAGGGAGGCTGAACCTGAGGGCAAGAAGAAGGGGAAGTTCAAGACCATGAAGATGTTGAAACTGCTAGGAAACAAACGTGATGCCAAGAGCAAGTCCCCCAGAGACAAGAGCTAACAGCACGAGAAGCCAGTTGGGGACTGCCCCCTCCTGGAGCAGCTCCTGGGCTGTGCTCTGTTTGAAGGGGGCGCCCTGCTCCCCTCAGATCAGTCAGGAGGAAGATGACTAAGGGGAGGGATCCTCTGGGTGATGGCCTCTTCCTCCTCAGGGACCTCTGACTGCTCTGGGCCAAAGAATCTCTTGTTTCTTCTCCGAGCCCCAGGCAGCGGTGATTCAGCCCTGCCCAACCTGATTCTGATGACTGCGGATGCTGTGACGGACCCAAGGGGCAAATAGGGTCCCAGGGTCCAGGGAGGGGCGCCTGCTGAGCACTTCCGCCCCTCACCCTGCCCAGCCCCTGCCATGAGCTCTGGGCTGGGTCTCCGCCTCCAGGGTTCTGCTCTTCCAGGCAGGCCAGCAAGTGGCGCTGGGCCACACTGGCTTCTTCCTGCCCCATCCCTGGCTCTGAGTCTCTGTCTTCCTGTCCTGTGCAGGCGCCCTTGGATCTCAGTTTCCCTCACTCAGGAACTCTGTTTCTGAAGTCTTCAGTTAAGTTTGAGTTTATGACTGAGTGGCCTGTACTGTCAGACGTGAATGGGCCTGACGGGCAAATCCATCCCTCTCTCCCTCACAGTTCCAGGAGCGGCTTCCCTCGTCTCCCCTTACTCCACAGGGAGCCTCCCTTGCCAGGACCAGGGCTGCGACGGCCATGCTGGGGCAGGTGAGTGCTCTGTTAGCTGCTCCCAGTGCTGTCCCCAGGCTGCAGTTCTGGTCCCTGGTTGTCAGGTAGGAAGGGTGCACTTGAAGCAGGTGCTCATCTCGGTTCCTTAACGTTTATAGTCTGACCCCTCACTTAGGCTTTCCTCTGCCACCCCGGTCCAGGGAAGAGGCTCGCTCCCGCCCATGGTCATCACTGGTCTGTCTGCTCTGTTGTCTGTTCTTTCCCTGACTCCCTCCCACCGAAGGCCTGATGGCTACTCACCCCTCTGGGATGGCTATGGGAGAGGAGGAGTGATGGGGACCGCCACCTTTTCTGCAGGAAATGTGCCCAGCAGCTCTTGGTCAAAGCACTGTTGCTATAAGCTATCTCTGGGATGCCTCTAGGCCCCCTTCCCTCTACACACCTCTGGGAAAAGATTACACTGTATTAACTCTCGAGGAGTTTCCTCACCAATAAACAGACAACCTCAACTGCCAGTGCCCTGCAGCCTCGGGCCACAGCGGCAGCCTTGTTTGCCTTCCCACCTGCCTCTGCCACACCTGGTGGCTGAACATCTCTGGTCGCCCAGAGGCCATGTTGGGGCCATCCTCCAAGAGGGATCTCTGCCCTCACCGCCTGCCACTGGGCAGGATCCCTTTCCTCTGCAGGGAGAGGTGGCTCCTCGGCCATGCAGCCCCTGGCAGGCTCCTTCTAAACATGCCTGTTGACCTGGAGCTGGCGCCACCAACTCCAGGGCCTTTCCAGGGCCAGACAGGTAACACGCATGAACCCGAGTGACAGCTCTGACGGGCTGTTTCGGTGTCAGGAGACAAAGCTGGCAGGGGCAGGGGTGAACTGGAGGCAAGTCAAGTCACCTGTGGCCTGTGGGGCTGAATGTGGGCCCGGTGTTGCCAGATCCTTTGTCATAAGAAGCTAGAAATCCAGATTTTATGTGTGTGTAATTTGTAAATGCTGAAAGCTAGCCTGAATTTTTTTTTTTTTTTTTTGAGACAGAGTCTCGCTCTGTCGCCCAGGCTGGAGTGCAGTGGCGCGATCTCAGCTCACTGCAAGCTCCGCCTCCTGGGTTCACGCCATCCTCCTGCCTCGGCCTCCTGAGCAGCTGGGACTACAGGCGCATGCTACGACGCCTGGCTAATTTTTTGTATTTTTAGTAGAGACGGGGTTTCACCGTGTTAACCAGGATGGTCTCGATCTCCTGACCTTGTGATCCACCCACCTTGGCCTCCCAAAGTGCTGGGATTACAGGCGTGAGCCACCACGCCCGGCCACTAGCCTGAATTTCAATCAAGGGTTGGCTGATACTGTGTGTCCAGGGTGGACTGGATTTGTCCTGGGGGGTTCTCTGGTTTGCTGCCTCCTGACCACATGATGGGGCCTTCGAGGTCGAGGACAACTGTTCCCATTAGATTGCACCCTCTGCCCTCAGGTTCTTGAGGGTGTGTGGACACAGAGGCTTTCCATGGGATGTCCCTGAGCCGGCCCTTGATTGGGGCCTCACCATTTACAGGGCCGTTTTATTCTGCAAACCGAAACTTGGGTCATGTGACCTGATGGGATTATGGGACTCCCTCCAGGTGCCCGAGACAAGGTTGATATTTCCAAAATATTTTGGTGATTTAGTGGGACAAGCAAATGACAGAATACCGGAGAAGGCAGGGATCGTGGGTGTCAGGAGCCAGAGGGGAGGGGGACAGATGTGCTGTGTACAGGACAAGGTGTCAGGTGACTCCTTCCCAGCAGGGCCTCGCAGATGCACAAGCACGGAGCTGGTGGGTTTTGCCCAAGAAAGGTCACGCGGCACATGCAGGGATTGGAACTCCCAGGCCAGGGCTCTAGGTCGCTCCCACCTTTTCATGTTTCTTTCTGTGGCCATGGGTATAGTGGAAAGACATAAAGCTAAAGCCAACTTTTAATCCTGAATGCACTGCTTGCCAGGTAAATGCCCTTGGTTGTGGTATCTTGTTGAGACTTAGTTTTCACAGAGGGATAATGAACCGTTGCAGAGGTTTATTGAGATCATTAACAGAGTGGAATTCAGCACCCGCCACAGCAGCCAGCCATGGGGTGCCCAAGAGGTTGGTTCCCGTTGCCACTTGAAATATGCAAACAGGTAGCTAGAAACCATCTGGGCTTGACAAAGTCTAATGCCTTGAACAAATAAGCTTATCCCTCTGAAAACAAAATGGTGCTTGTAATGACCCACGTTAAATATGTTTTATTGGCCAGTTAATCATTGTGGTTGAATACTTGCCTAAGGCGGTAAGAAATCAAATAAGTAAATCCTAAAACAGGAAGAAAGGAATCATATTCATTCCTGAATTCAGAAAACTAAATGAACAGGCCACAGGTCAGAAGTGGTGGGAAGCAGGCCCAGTGGATACCTTTAGACACATGTCCTAGTAGGGATGCTCGGGCTTTGCTTCTCTGCGGACGGGGCTGTGAGTCTCAGAGGCTCCATCTGCATTCCGGGGCAGGGGCTAGGCTGCTGAGTATGCCTTGGGGTACTGCAGGGCAGTGCTATGCCACCACCTGACGTGGCAGAAGGCTGGTAGGATGGGCTGGCCTGAGGATGGCCCTGCCTGGCAGAGGAGTGGACTCCAGTGGTCGAGCTTGGGCTACCCTGCCCGTCTCTGGAGACAGATTAAGTGGTGGCAAGACCCTTCCTAAGTTCCTCACTCCTTCTGTGGTCAATGTCTTCCATTTCCCGGAGTTTCTGCAAAGGGCATCAGGGAAAGCAGGTGTATCAGGGCTAGGAACCTGAGGAGCTGTCACAGCAGTGAGCTAGAGCCTGACCCCTGAACCCTGCCACAGCAGACCCTGTATTTCCATTCGCACTTGGCGCTGGGCCCTTCCCCTCCCCACTTTCCTGGTTGTTTCTCCTACCTGGGAGATTTCAGCAAGGATGATTCCTCGGTACTGTTTGCCCTGTCCCAGGGCCTCCATGTCAGCCAGGAATTCTTTCCTCTCCTGGATTTCCTTCACCACTGGACAGAGGAGAGGGCTGTCAGGTTCCCATGAGGGATGCAGGCAGCGGGTTGCCTCTCTTGAGGAGAGGAAGTGGTTCTATTGTCAAATAGTGTTTCTAGGCCGGGCGCGGTGGCTCACGCCTATAATCCCAGCACTTTGGGAGGCCAAGGCAGGTGGATCACGAGGTCAGGAGTTCGAGACCAGCCTGACCAACATGGTGAAACCCCGTGTCTACTAAAAATACAAAAATTAGCCAGGCATGGTGGCGGGCGCTGGTAATCCCAGCTACTCAGGTGGCTGAGGCAGGAGGGATTGCTTGAACCTGGGAAGTGGAGGCTGCAGTGAGCCCAGATCACGCCACTGCACTCTAGCCTGGGCAATAAGAGCAAGACTGTCTCAAAATAAATAAATAAATAAATAAATAGTGTTTCTCACTTGTTGGCCCTTGGCCCTCAGGGATCCCCTGACTGCTCCATCCAATTCTGGGCCCCCTCCTCACATTACCCCCACCCCCAGCATGACTGGTCCGTCGGAGTCTTACGCTCTTCAAATCGGTCTAGCTCAGGGGCTGGAGCCTTCTGTCGTGCAGGAGGGGCCTTTCTTTTCCGTTCCTCCATGTCCTTCCCTGTGGCAAAGATATTTTGGAGTCTTTGTTTCTCCTTCTCCAAATCCCCTGTAGGGCCAAAAAGAAATGGCCTAGTTAGGCTGTAAAGGGTGCCCTTATTCATGGTCTGTGTTCCCAAGTGCACGTGCTTGCTGCAGGGTGCCTGGTCATGCAGACAGGGCTTCCGTACACCTGCTGCTACCCTGGGTTCTCCTGAGCAATACTGTACTGTCAAGAGAGGCAGGAAGAGGTGGAAAGAACCAAGAAAAGAGTTTGGGTATGGTCTGTAATTCCAACACTTTGGGAGGCTGAGGTGGGAGGATTGCTTAGGACCAGGAGTTCAAGACCAGCCTAATGGATGTAGTGAGACCCCCATCTCTTTTTTTCTTCTTTTTTTTTTTTTTTTTTGAGACAAGGTCTGACTCTGTCGCCCAGACTGGAGTGCAGTGATACAATTTCGGCTCACTGCAACCTCTCGGGCTCAAGTCATCCTCCCACCTCAGCCTCCCGAGTAGCTGGGACTACAGGTGGACGTCATCGTGCCCAGCTAATTTTTGTATTTTTTTTTTTTTAGTAGAGATGGAGTTTTGCCATGTTGCCCAGGCTGGTCTCAAACACATGAGCTCAAACGATCTGCCAGCCTCGGCCTCCCAAAGTGCTGGAATTACAGGCATGAGCCATCACGCCTGACCGATATCCTATCTCTAAAAAAAAAAAAAAAAAAAAAGTCCAGGCACGGTGGCTCACACCTGTAATCCTAGCACTTTGGGAGGCTGAGGCAGGCAAATCATGAGGTCAGGAGTTCGAGACCAGCCCAGCCAACATGGTGAAACCCCATCTCTACTAAAAATACAAAAAATTAGCTGGGCATGGGCCGGGCGCGGTAGCTCATGCCTGTAATCCCAGCACTTTGGGAGGCCGAGGTGGGCGGATCACGAGGTCAGGAGATCAAGACCATCCTGGCTAACACGGTGAGACCCCACCTCTACTAAAAATACAAAAAAATTAGCCCGGCGTGATGGCAGGTGCCTGTAGTCCCAGCTACTCGGGAGGCTGAGGCAGGAGAATGGCGTGAACCTGGGAGGTGGAGCTTGCAGTGAGCCGAGATGGTGCCACTGCACTCCAGCCTGGGCGACAGAGCAAGACTCAGTCTCAAAAAAAAAAAAAATTAGCTGGGCAGGGCATGGTGATGGTGCCTGTAATCCTAGCTACTTGGGAGGCTGAGGCATGAGAATTGCCTGAACCCAGGAGGTGGAGGTTGCAGTGAGCCGAGATCGTGCCACTGTACTCCAGCCTGGGTGACAGCGCGAGACTCCGTCTCAAAAAAAGCTGGGTGTGGGGAACACCTGTGGTCCCAGCTATTCTGGAGACTGAGGCAGGAGGATTGCTTGAGCTCAGGAGTTCTGGCTGCAGTGAGCTATGATCATGCCACTGTATTACAGAATGGGTGACAGAATGAGAGCGACACTGTCTCAAAAAAAAAAAAAAAAAAAGGCCGGGAGCGGTCGTTTGTGCCTGTAATCCCAACACTTTGGGAGGCCAGGGTGGGCGGATCACTTGAGGCCAGGAGTTCAAGACCAGCCTGGCCAACATGGTGAATCCCCATCTCTACTAAAAAAATTAACTGGACATGGTGGTGGACACTTGTAATCCCAGCTACTCAGGAGGCTGACACATGAGAATTGCTTGAACCCGGGAGGCGGAGGTTACAGTGAGCCGAGATAGCACCACTGCACTCCAACCTGGGCACAGAGTAAGGCTCTGTCTTTAAAAAAAAAAAAAAAAAAAAAGTTTTGTCAAAACTTAGCAGAGCAAGGCTAAGAAAGCTCAGGAACCTGGGGCCTCGGCGATGCCTGTAGTGGCAACTTATGTATAGGGGCTGCAGGGAGAGGTTAGGCTGTGGCATTGAGCCCTGATAGCCCCTATCATCAGGAAGTGGTAGATTTCAGTTAATCCTGAGTTCTGGAAAAATAAAAAAAAAAGGACCATCTGACTGGTTTCCTCTGCGCCCTGAATACCCCTAAGCCAACATGTGCTGAGGCTCAAGAGCATTGGTACAAAGTGCATGGGGATTTGATTAGCTACCTTCCCACCTGCCCTGTGGGCTGCTTGCGTCCCTCTCCCTTGTCCTCCCCCAGGGAGATGGAGAAAGGCCCTAGCTGAGACCCTCACTTACTGGTGGCTTGAGGCTTGAACTGCTCCCGGCTGTAGGCCCCATTGGCTTGACACATGTTGGCAGGCCGGAGGTGGGGACGGGCTGCGAGGATGGGAGGCAGGTAGATGGGCGAGGCTATTTGCTTGGAAGGTAAGACTCTCTGGCTGGATGTTGGGCTGCACTGTAGGGGCAAAGCATCTCCTCCTGGGGAACGAAGAGTTGGGGTGGGAGGACCCACATGGCTTTTTTTTTTTTTTTTTTTTTTTTTTGAGTCTGAGTCTTGCTCTGTCACTCAGGCTGGAGTGCAGCGGCGCGATCTCGGCTTACTGCAACCTCTGCCTCTTAGGTTCAAGCGATTCTCCTGCCTCAGTCTCCCAAGTAACTGGGATTACAGGCATGCGCCACCATGCTTGGCTAATTTTTGTATTTTTAGTAGAGACAGGCCATGTTGGCCAGGCTGGTCTTGGACTCCTGACCTCAAGTGATCCACCCACCTCGGCCTCCCAAAGTGCTAGGATTATAGGCATGAGCTATTGCACCTGGCCACTTTTTAAAAATAAAAGTTGGCCGGGCATGGTGGCTCATGCCTGTAATCCCAGCACTTTGGGAGGCCGAGATGGGTAATCACTTGAGGTCAGGAATTCGAGACCACCCTGGCTAACACGGTGTAACCCTGTCTGTACTAAAAATACAAAAAATTAGCTGGGCGTGGTGGCGGGTGCCTATAGTCCCTACTGCTCGGGAGGCTGAGGCCGGAGAATGGCATGAACCTGGGAGGTGGGACTTGCAGTGAGCTGAGATTGCACCACTGCACTCCAGCCTGGGCGACAGAGCGAGACTTCGTCTCAAAAAAAAATTAATAGAATAAAAATAAAGGTAATACCTACCTGTTAAAAGAAGTCAAAAGGCCAGGTGCAGTGGCTCACGCCTGTAATCCCAACACTTTGGGAGGCTGAGGTGGGCAGATCACTGGAGGTCAGGAGTTTGAGACCAGCCTGGCCAACATGGTGAAACCCCATGTCTAAAGAAAAACAAAAAAAATTAGCCAGGCATTATGACGGGTGCCTGTAATCCTAGCTACTTGGGAGGCTGAGGCGGGAGAATCACTTGAACCCAGGAGGTGGAGGTTGCAGTAAGCCAAGATTGCACCACTGCATTCCAGCCTGGGTGACTGAGCAAGACTGTCTCAAAAAAACCCCCAAAAAACAAAAATTAGCTGGGCGTGGTGATGCAGGCCTGTAATCCTAGCTACTGGGAAGGCTGAGGCAGGAGAATCTCTTGAACCCAGGAGGTGGAGGTTGCAGTGAGCTGAGATTGAGCCACTGCACTCCAGCCTGGGCAACAGAGTGAGACTCTGTCTCAAAAAACAAAACAAAATGAAACAAAACAAAACAAGTCAAACAGTACAAGGAGTCTTCTCTTCTTCCTTCCAGTCCCACCCCTCTATAATGAATGAGTGATAATGGTAACAGTTTGGTGGTCTCCTTCCTTTTTGATGCTTATACAAACATGTTCAAAGATATATGTGCATATAAGATTCTTTCAAACACTGGATCGTACTGTAATATATTAAAATAACAGACTCTTTTCACTTAACATTTTTTCATGGACATCTGTCCAGATCAATCCATTTATATATAACTTATTTTTTATAGCTATATACTAGTATCCTTAGAATGGATACATTATTTATTCAGCTCACCTCCTTGTTTCAGAAATTTAGGTTATTTCTAGGTTTGTTTTTTACTACTTCAAACAATGCTGCAATAAACATTCTTGTACATCAAATCTTTGTACCGATGCTTTAATTTCTATGGATGGGTTCCTAAAACTTTCTGTGTGGTGCATGGACAAGCAGGGACAGTTTGGATGACAGCAGGTACCTATCCCTCCTGCTGTCCATCCCCCCGCTTGGCCATCCCTGGGGCTTCTCCCCCAGGCGATCCAAGTGTGTCACCTGTCTGGTCAGTTGACCCCACCTCTCAACTGCCATAAAGCCCAGCTTAGAGCAGGTCCCATCCATTGTTTTTTTTTTTTTTTTTGAGACAGAGTCTCCCTCTGTTGCCCAGGCTGGAGTGCAGTGGCATGATCTTGGCTCTCTGCAACCTACACCTCCTGGGTACAAGCGATTCTTGTGCCTCAGTCTCCTGAGTAGCTGGGATTATGGTGTGTGCCACCACGCCTGGCTAATTTTTTTTTTTTTTTTTTTTTTTTTTGAGACAGAGTTTTGTTCTTGTCACCCAGGCTAGAGTGCAATGGTGTGATCTCAGCTCACTGCAACCTCCGCCTCCTGGGTTCAAGCTATTCTCCCGCTTCAGCTTCCCAAGTAGCTGGGACTACAGGCCCGGGTCACCACACCTGGCTAATTTTTGTATTTTTAGTAGGGGTGGAGTTTCACCATGTTGGCCAGGGTGGTCTTGAACTCCTGACTTTGGGTGATCTGCCTGTCTCGGCCTCTGAATGTGCTGGGATTACAGGCGTGAGCCACCGCACCTGGCTCATCCACTGTTTTGATCTGGGTGCCTGTCTACCTTTTCTGCCCATCCAGCCTCTACAAGGTCAATTCCCCAGGAGCGAGCGGTCAGAAGTATTAATTTTTTTGGTCACACACCCAAAAATTTTGCTGTAGAGAGAGGTTTCACTGTGTTGCCCAGGCTGGCCTTGAACTCCTGGGCTCATGTGATTCTCCTGCCTCAGCTTCCTGAGTAGCTGGGACTACAGGTACACCCCAGTATGTATGTGTTTTGCCAGGCTGGTCTTGAACTCTTGGGCTCAAGCAATCCTCCTGCCTTAGCCTCCCAAAGTGATAGGATTATAGGTATAAGCCACCACAGCTGACCTGTTTTTTTTTATTTTTTATTTTTTGTTTTTGAGACGATGTCTTGCTCTGTCACCCACACTGGAGTGCAGTGGTATGGTCTCGGCTCGCTGCACCCTCTGCCTGCTGGGTTCAAGTGATTTTCCTGCCTCAGCCTCCTGAGTAGCTGGTATTACAGGCATCCGCCATCATGCCCAGCTAATTTTTGTATTGGCATAGAGACAGGGTTTTACCATGTTGGCCAGGCTGGTCTTGAACTCTTGACCTCAGGTGATCTGCCCGCCTCAGCCTCCCAAAGTGCTGGGATTACAGGTGTGAGCTCCCACACCCGGCCTGACCTGTTTTTATTTTAATTTAATTTTATTTTATTTTAATTATTTTGAGATTAGGCTCCACTCGGTCGCCCAGGCTGGAGTGCAGTGGTGCAATCACAGCTCATTGCAGCCTTGACCTCCCAGGGTCAAGTGATCCTCCCACCTCAACCTCCTGAGTAGCTGGGACTACAGGTTGGCACCACCACACCTGGCTAATTTTAAAAAATTTTGGGGGCTGGGTGCAGTGGCTCATGCCTGGAATCCCAGCACTTTGGGAGGCCGAGGCGGGCAGATCACGAGGTCAGGAGTTCGAGACCAGCCTGGCCAACATGGTGAAACCCAGTCTCTACTAAAAATACAAAAATTAAGCCGGGCATGGTGGCGCACGCCTGTAATCCTAGCTAGTCAGGATGCTGAGGCAGGAGAATTGCCTGAACCCAGGAGGCGGAGGTTGTAGTGAGCCGAGATCATGCCACTGCACTCCAGCCTGGGCGACAGAGAGAGAGACTCATCTCAAAACAAAACAAAACAAAAAAGTTGGCCAGGCGTGGTGGCTCACTCCTGTAGTCCCAGCACTTTGGGAGGCCGAGGTGGGCGGATCATGAGGTCAGGAGATCGAGACCATCCTGGCTAACACGATGAAACGCCGTCTCTACTAAAAATACAAAAAATTAGCCAGGCGTGGTGGTGGGCACCTATAGTCTCAGCTACTTGGGAGGCTGAGGCAGGAGAATGGCATGAACCCGGGAGGCAGAAGTTGCAGTGAGCCGAGATTGCGCCACTGCACTCCAGCCTGGGCGACAGAGTGAGACTCTGTCTCAAAAAAAAAAAAGGTTTTGTGGAGATGAGGTCTTGTGGCTTGTGGCGTTGCCCGGGCTGGTCTTGAACTCCTGGGCTTAAGCCATCCTCCCACCTCAGCCTCCCAGTGTTGGAATTACAGGCATGAGCCACGTGCCCGGCTGTCTTTGTTTTTTTTATATGAGGTCCTCTCTCCCTTAACATGGAGAAGCATTAAAAGTGTGGCCCCAGATCCCTCTGTCCAGGAAGCCTCTGTGGACTGCCCCTTACTTTTCATGATGTCCATGATGTGGCGCTGCTGGATGTTCGTCAGTTTGGATTCCTTCATCATCACTGCACGACAAAGCATTCTATGAGGCCTCTTGGGCTGCAGGCGGATGCCTTCACCTGACACCCTACTGAAATTTAAAACCCTACATCCTAGCCCCATTCTGCACTGAGCATGCCTTCTCTATCTTTCCTGCTTCGTTTTTTCTATAGCACTTACGACCACCTAAAATTCTATATATTTTATTTTATTGTTATCCTTCTATATTAGCTGTATGATAAGAATTTTTGCTGGTTTAATAAAATTTCTGCCCTCTGTTAAATATTTTTTCCTCTTTCTCTTTTTTTTTTTTTTTTTTTTTTTTTTTTTTTTTTTGAGATGGAGCTTCCATCTTGTTGCCCAGGCTGGAGTGCAGTGGCGCGACCTCAGCTCACTGCAATCTCCACCTCCTGGGTTCAAGGAATTCTCCTGCCTCAGCCTCCCAAGTAGCTGGGATTACAGACATGCGCCACCACGCCCGGCTAATTTTGT